>NC_000013.11:82993325-83146166 GCF_000001405.40 Homo sapiens | reverse complement strand
TTAAATGAATGGCAGTCGCAAAGGCTGTGTGTGTGTGTGTGTGTGTGCGTGTGTATTTTATAGAAACACCTTCATTTTGCTCAAAAAGGCAGTCAATAGCTAAGGAGACGCCAGACTGAACAGACTGAATAAAATAAAGTTCACATCAGCAACAAATCCTCTTGCTGAAGACTCTGGCTAGAGGGCACGGGCGCGAAAGTCCCTGGCTGTTAAGGGGCACATGCAGACACCATCCTTGCCTTGAATACACTGGCTTGGAAGTCAGTTATGGATTTTAATAGCCTGTGCAAGGTAAGTGTAGCTACTCCTCTTTGGGACTGTGTTGAAGTGGTTGAGCCCTATCCAAGGCTGAGGATGAGACATGTTACCAGGCTGTGGCTCAAAGTCTTTCAAATTTACTTCATACTCGTCTTCATTTATACTGGAGTCGGCCCATCATTACAAATGCTAATTTAAACTTCTCAAATTCCTTCTCCTGGATGCTCAGCAGGCTCCGGATCCATGTAATCACCTCTCAGAAATGCTCGCCCTGGTGCATCCTCAGTAAAAATGGGTTTCTGAATGTTCTGAAGACCTCTTTGGGGAAATGTGCAGCCATGACGAGCATTGACGAGCACTGTGACTATGTGTGTGCAGACGTGTGTGTGTGTTTATAATCATACTACATTCCTAAATATTAACATAGTTCCAATCTAAATAGTAAACACATGGTTCTAGGAAATACATAATATCTCAGTTTCCTTCAAGACTGCCTAACGGTTTTCCACACTTGCATATTTTATTTTCACAAGCAAACTTGCATACATATATATTTAGATGATTTTCTAACAATTTAAATACTATAATTGTAAGAATTCTTAGGCAAAATCAATTGTAATTAATCAAACACATTAAAATGCATCTAAGGACACAATATTCTTCCCCTAAGGCTAATTATTATTGAATTGGTGATCTTCAAATATTGGTTGCCTTTTTGGAAATATAGTATAAAATTGCATATAATATATAGAAAAATAAAAGCTTAATCCATTAGATACACATATAAATCCAAATTTTTGAATATGAAAACAAAATTATTATTATAAAACCTGGTCACTAAGGCACATATTAAGATAAATGTGGAAATTATTGACCAATAGGCTAAACAACCCTTGTTTATGTTGTATCTGAAGTTATAAGTACTTCACTTATGTTAACTTTTAACATGGCATAACAATATAACATGGATAATATTTGGCCTTTTTACAAGAAGAAATTGAGGCTCAGAGATATTAAACATGCTCAGGGCCTAACAATGAGATGGAGTCAAGATTTGAAACTGGAAGTTTGTTGCTGAAGTGCACACAAAACATTTTCTAAGATGAAGAATGAAGTAGAGATCTTCTGTGAAGCCCATGACTTTTTTCAGGTACCATTAACGTTCCTTAGTGACCACGGAAAAAGTAAAGAAGTGATAGGGCAGGATGTGAAACAACTGGTTTTGAGGCAGACATACAATGAATGACATGCAAGAATTTCATTTGTGAAGCAGTTGGAGCATCCAAGACATATATTAGAAGTTTAACAGCATTAACATTTCTCTAACAGTGGGTTATATGATATTTTTTTCAAGTAATTATATGGCAGGGTACATATCAAGGAAGTGACAAAGACAATTGGAAGTGTGCATATTGCAAAATAAACACATAAATTATTCTCTAACAAGGCTGACTCTGAATATTAAATGTCCCCTTCAACAAAAAAAGTCCAAAATGTTATTTATAACTTGGTTATTTTAACAGTAAAAATTATTTTGTTCTCCTTAATATCTAATCACTTTTGTACTATCTTCATATGAAGCATAATTTTCCTACTTGAAATGTTCAGCATTATCAGTGTTAATACTAATTGTGTGCTTAATAATAGAAACTTTAATCTGAAAATTTCTGCTTTATCGCCTTTTAAGGCATTATATTTGAAGGTACAAACATATCTTGATCTTCTGTTATAATTGCTACTGCTGCTAATATTGAATGTTTATTTGTTTTTGTGGAAAATAGATCCACTACAACGTCTTTCAAATATATTAATTTAAAAAGCAATAGATATAAACTTTTCTTAACTATCATTTAAGTTTTCTATTGTCACCAGTGACAGGGTTTATTGGCGAGATTAAAAACTAGAGTTGCTAGTATTGCATTCACTGTTTTTTTTTAAATAGATTCATTTGGAATGTGAATTTCTTCTTAAAATAATACAATAAGGAAAAATAATTTGTAAAATTACAGAGACTATATACTTATTATGTAGAAAAATATAGTAGAAAATATTTTGTGTTTTAGAAAATTATATTTATTATTCATGTTAGGAAAAATACGAAATTATGGAAATAATTTTATGAAAGTATTATGAACATCTAGATTTACTAAAGAAAGATGTGGAAATGATAGCTCTTTCTTTAAACATATACTAAACAGAATTTGCTCTCTAAATTACATTAATTATTTTGTTTACTCCATGCAAAACTTCGAGTTATGTATTCCTATAGATACAAGATTATTTATTATTTATTTGCTTTTCTCTTTTGCCTGATGTACCTAAAATTTTCACCTCATGAGAAGAGGTAAACATAAATTATAAAAGGAACGTGGTGATTAAGATATGTCATAGAGGGGTGGACATACAGTAGGGAAATTATATTAATGTTCCAATATGAAAAATTATATTTTAGAGAGTACAATGTCCTCAATCAGTTTGTTATAATGAGAGGATTTTTGGATTTTCTGCAACCTTTGGTGTTAGTACATCAATAATAAATTGGCAGGAAACAGATAACAATATTCTCCATGAGATGCAGGGTAGGCATCATCTACATGTTTTTACTGTTAATTTTTGGTAGAAAAGAAGCATTATTTTCTGGTCTGGTGGGATTAGATGGATGAGAAGAAAAAGAGAGAGAAAGAGAGAGAGAATGAATATGAGATTTGAATGTGAGTTCTATTTTCCCTCTACGTAGCCTTAGACTAAAATAGGGAAATTTGGGTTACAACAGGGAAGGCACTAGGAGGGCAGAGATAGGAGGTGCTGACCTTTTCTTCCATGTGAAAATCAGGGAGTGGCTACCCAGAATGCTTGTAGTTAATGCATGCTGGGTTTAATAACTAGGTGATGGCTTGATAGGTGCAGCATACCACCACGGCACACGTTTACCTGTGTAACAAACCTGCGTATCCTGCACATGTTCCTAGAACCCAAAATAAAGACTAAACTAAACTAACTAAAATAATATTGGTGCATAGATATCACCATAGAACACTGTGAGCTCCATGTATTTAGGAAGAAGGAACCATAAGCCTCCCCGAACCCTTGGATTTAGAATTAAGAACCAGTGAACCAGCACTATGACCGACATTGACAGAGCTATAATTAAAAACCAGCAAAACACTGAACAAGTGGATGAACCTGGAGGACATTTTGTTAAGTGAAATTAACCAAGCACAGAAAGACAAATACCACATGATCTTACCCATACGTGGAACCTAAAAAAAGTTGATCTCATAAAAGTAGAGAGTAGAAAAGTGAGTACCAAAGGCTGGGGAGGGTGGGAGTTGGATGAGGAGAGGATGGTCACTGGGTACAAAGTTCCAGTTAGAGGAATACATTCCAGTGTTCCATTGCACATTATGGTGATTATTGTTAACAATAATATATTTTAAATTATATGGAAGAGAGGATTTTGAACGTTCTCATCATAAAGAAATTATAAATGTCTAAGGGATGGTATGCTAATTATTCTAATTCGATTATTACATATTATATACTGTATTGAAATATTACACTGCACACCATAAAGATGCATAATTATTTTGTCAATTAAAATAATTTTTTAATTATAAAATTTGGAAGTAACTCTTGAAAGAGTACAGCAATTCTTTTCATTGTCCAAGTATTCCAGATTGGACAGTAAGTCAGATGATCAACATAGATAGTTGACATTCTCCAAGAAATTTGCCATTGAAGGTATAGAAAAAGAGAAAAAGGATACTGAGTGATGATACAATTTTATCGAGAAGTTATTTACACTATTTAAAAAAGGGACTATCAAAAACATGGTACGATATGGTAACTCTAGTTTTAGTTTTCTGAGGAACCTCCATATTGTTCTCCATAGTGGCTGCTGTAATGTACTTTTCCACCGACAGTGATTCAGGATTTGTCCTTCAAATTCTTGCCAGCATTGCTTATTATCTGTCTTTTTGATAAAAACCATTTCAACTGGGATAAGATGATATCTCATTGTAGTTTTTATTTATATTTCTCTGATGATTACTGATGTTGAATATTTTTCATATTCCTGTTGGCCATTTGTATATCTTATTTTGAGAAATATCTGTTCAGATCTTTTGCCATTATTGAATTGGGTTATTTGATTTTTGCTACGTATGTAGCATACATATGTAGTTATATATTATGTAGTCTGGTTATTAATTATTCATCAGATACATAGTTTGCAAATATTTTCTCCCATTCTGTAGTTTGTCTCTTTATTCTGTTTCTTTTTTTTTTCTTTACTGTGCAAAGTCTTTTTAACTTGATATGAGTTCATTTCTTTTTTGCTTAGGTTGCCTGTGCTTTTTAGGTCTTACTCAACAAATCTATGTCTAGACCCATGTCCTGGGTGTTTCTGCAAAATTATCTTCTTGTAGCTTCATATTTCGGGTTTTATATTTCAGTATTTAATCCATTCTTATTTGGGTTTTGTATATGGTAAGAGACAGGGTTTAGTTTCTTTCTTCTGCATAAGGGTATCTGGTTTCCCCAGCATCATTATTAAATAATCTGTCCTTTCTTCAATTTATGTTCTTAATGTCTTTGTCAAAAATAACTGGATCCAGCAATATGACTTCTGGATATATATACAAAGGAAGAAACTCAGCAGATCAAAAAGATCTGCACTCCCATGTCTATTGCAGCATTATTCACAATAGCCAAGATTTTGAATCAACCTAAGTCAGTGCCCATCAAGATATAAAGGGATAAAGAAAATGTGGTACACATACACAGTGGAATTTTATGCAGACATAAAAAGAATGATATCCTGTTATTTGCAACCATAACATAAAATGAACTGGAAGACATTATGGTAAGTTAAATAAGGCAGGCACAGAAAAATAAACTTTGCATGTTTGCACTCATATGTGGGAGATTAAAAAAAAAACATCTTTTGGAGATAGACAGAATCAATCATGGTTAACAGAGGCTCAGAAGGGTAGTGGCAGGGGATAAAAAGGGAATGGTTAATGGGCACAAAAATGTAGTTAGCTAGAAGGAATGTGATTCAGTTTTGGGTAGCACAATTCAGCGACTATGTTTAGCAATAATTTATTGAGTATTTCAGAAGAACTAGAAGAAAGGAACTGGAATGCTCCTAACACAAAGAAATAATCAATGCTTGAGGTGATGGATATTCCACTTACCTTGATTTGATCAATGTATATAGTATGTTTACATAAAAATATCACATGTACTCCATAAATATGTACAACTGTCATGTATCTATAAAAATTTTAAAAATAAAAATCATGTGTCATATAATTTTTGACCAAATAGAACAGAGTTTATTTTTCTTTCTCATCCTTACATAGACCCTTTTGTTATGTAAGATTAATTATAGAGTAATTTAAAAATTATGCTTTCTAGGCACATCAGCATTATAGTGGAAAATAAGTTTTGCAACTCTATTGCATCACACTATTTATCAAGTTTAATGATAAATAAAATTGTATTCTTAGGGCTTAAAAAGTATGTATGGAAAACTGAAAAGCATGATTGTTAAAACTGTTTTAAAAACAGCTATCCCTTCCATTATAAAAGTTGGTATAAACGTTCTATTTATTTTCTAATTCATTGCATCCCTGGTAGCATATTTATGGTCTCTGGAGCTAATACATGTCTTTGTTTTCACCACAATAAACTAATGTCTTTTATTTTTTGTAGTGCTAACTTTAGTCACTTACAAATAGAGTTTCTATTCCAACCTCAACTAAACAAGAAGGAAATTGCTTTTTGTATTACTTATATGTTTATGTACACATGTTCTTATTTAAATCTGTAGAAATATTGACATCATGAAACACAAATTACAAAGGAAACTAAAATGCAAAAAGTGATCCACAATTTTTTAAACAAAAAATATTTTATTCAAATACAGAGGGTAAGATGTAAATATCTTCTTATGTAACTATGTGATACCCTAATATATTTGTGGAGTTGTGTTAGGATTATACTTTTGGATTTCTTAAACTTATATGAATACTTCTAAGCTATGATATTCTTTTAATGTTAATTTTACCAGGCACAAATATGACAAAATAAGAAAGTTCTTTCACTTGCATGTTTAATTTTAACGTTTTTATAAGCAAACAAGAGTTAAGCAAATCTTTTTTTAGTTTAAGATAAATGTTGCAACGACCTAGAAAAATGTCAATATTTGAAAAGTTAACTATATTGTTAAAGTGTGTGTGTGCATTTGTATGTGTTCATGTGGAGTGTATGTATATGTATATATGTGTATTAAATATATATCATGTGTGCATATATAAATGTGTATAAATATATGTGTATCCATATATTCTTTTTAACTGATTAGATGGTATTCCACTAATAATTCTAATATAAACACACACACACAAAGAAATATAAATGTTTCTAAGTTAACATTTTACAAAATTAAATGTTCAAATTTCTTTATCAATCATATATTATGTTTTTAAATTATACTATTAGAGAATATTTTCTTCTCAACTATACTATGGTTATCAATATTCCAAAGGCAAAAGACTTTTAGAGATTTTTTTTCTTAGGGTAATTTTAAAAAGTAGTATCAAATATAACTTTATACACTGTAACACATCTGTATAACATTTGTGTGTATAACACACACAAAAATGCTTTTGATTAAATAGATGTGTTATATTTCAGCTACAGATAGATCAGATTAGTTTACTAAAGATTATTTTTAAGTATTCTAAATGAAATTCTAACACCTTAGTTTAAAAGCTTAATATTATGATTAAATCTTGTTTAAGTCCAACACGAATTTGTCATGTTTTGTTGAAATTCAAGATGTTTCAAGTAACAGTGTGTTTTAATATGAATTGTATTAAAAAAATCAACCAAGATTTATTTTGTTATCAATAATGGTGGAATATTGTGTAAATTGTCATCAGAACCTATTTCATTTCAGGCAGCCAAAAAAAGCTTGGTAAGATTTAGGACATTTTTATGTATTTATTTTCAGTTCTCAGCCTTTAAATTCTAATCCCATTGAAGAATGGGTAAATCCTCTTTATTAGCAGTTTTTCATATAACTTCAAACTTAAAATGTAATTTTCCATATGGAGTTGCTCAAATTTCCATAGATATCTACAATTTGGTTACAATCAAATCTGCTTTTCAAGCAGACATAAATCTCACCTGTTTTCAAACCCAAAATTAAAGTCAAAGAAGCAATAGAAAAATTTGTTCTTAAAAATATGAACAAACACTTTGCACAAAAGGATATCCAAATAACAAGTATTCAAAAGTTGAAAAATATCGTTATTCATTATCAACATGCAAATTAGACCAAAACATATGTTTTCCAACTTTTCCAATTCCACATACCAAATAAGGAATTTTAAAAATTGGAGACATTAAGTTCTGGCGAGCATGTGATACAATCATAACTCCTATTGATGGCACTGAGGCTATCCGTTGGTGAATCATTTTTGCAGAATGTTTGGCGATATGTGCTAAAACAGACATGGGAATGCTCTATGAACTCGCATTCTACTCCTAGGTATAGGTACCTTCCAAAATGAACAAATATTTTTATGAAAACATGTGGACTGTAATGTACACAGTAACACAACTTGCAACAGCTCCCAAATGCCCACTAACACCAATGAAATTACTAAATAGTTGGTGGTATGATTTATACAGTGGAATACTATATAGCAAGAAAAAGTAAAGAATCTACAATTCTACATAACAATGTTAATGTATCTCACAAATATAATATTGACTGAAAGAATCTAGGCAGCAAAAAGTACAAACTGCATGATTTCATTTATATAAAATTTAAAAAGTGGGCAAAAATAACCTATTCTGTTAGAAGGATGAAGGTATTCCTAGGGGTCAAGTGACTGGAAGGAAGCACAGAAAGGTCTCCAGGGGTGCTGAAAACACTGTTTCTTGATGGAGAAGCTTGCTGTATGAATACATTCTTTTGATACAATAGGCTGTACATTTATGCTATCTATGTTTAGCTTCTATTATGTATATTTTACTTCAATAACACATTTAATAGCTAATATGAAAGATAAAATTTGAAACTTGAAACAAACAAGTAAGCAGATTACTTTCCCAGAACAAGCACCCTAGGTCCAGATATCTTTTCTAGCAAATTCAACTGAATGTTTAAAAAAGAAATTATATCTATTGTACATAAATTCTCCTAAGGAGGACAAGTACGGTCAGTTCACAATTGATTTTGTCAGACTAGTGTGAACTCATTATCAAAACTTGTAAGAGCATTAAGAGAAAAAATTAAATGCCAGTAACATTATGTCTACATATGTAAATTCCAAAATAAATTATTAAACAATGCAGGCATATGAAAAATACACCAAAATGAATTCCATTTATTACAAAAAACAAAATTAGTTTAGTAATAAAAAATAATAACATAATTGAGCCTAGTAACCAAAATATAATACACAATGTTATCACTTTTGTACCAATCAAATATATCATCTATGTTACATGTAGATAAAACATACTATTTAATAATCAGCTTTATAGACTTAGAAAAGATATTTAATTAATATCATCCGCTCATGAATTTGGTAGAGTATACCTAAATGAAACCTACAGAAAAAAAAATACAGCTTTCTCTATGAGATGAGGGATGAGTCAAGAATGGCCACAGAGAAAAACAAAAGGAGTGTACTTTCTATACCAGATACCAAAATTTAGCGGAAAGCAACAGTAACCAAGATAGTGTAGTTTGGACATCAGTATAAACAAATAGGCAAAAAGAGTAGAACAGAGGCCAGAAACAGATCTACAGATAATTTTTTTTTTGAGACAGATACTCACTCTGTCACCCAGGCTGGAGTGCGGTGGCGCTATCTTAGATCACTGCAACCTCCGCCTCCCGGGTTCAAGCCATTCTCCTTGCCTCAGCCTCCTGAGTAGCTGGGACTAAGGGCACGCGCCACCACGCTGGGCTAATTTTTGCATTTTTAGTAGAGACGGGGTTCCGCCATGTTGGGTAGGCTGGTCTGAAACTCCTGACCTCAAGTGATGCACCCGCCTCGGCCTCCCAAAGCGGTGGGATTACGGGCGTGAGCCACCGCGCCCAGCGGGTCATTTTGTTTTTTACAAACTTTCTGCTCTGTAGCAGTATTACTTTCCCCCAACCCAGTAAATTCCTATTGAGTAAATTGGACTTTAAATGGAAATAAATGAGGCTAGAGTTTTTTTTCATAATGTAATAGACAAGTGTTGAAATTCATTGACCTTAAGATATAATATCTTTTTTTATTTTTTGAGATAGGGTCTTTGTCTGTCGCCCAGGCTGGAGTGCAATGGCAAGATCTCGACTCACTGCAAACTATGCCTCCCGGGTTCAAGCCATTCTCCTCCTGCCTCAGCCTCCCTACTAGCTGGGACTGCAGGTGCGTGCCACTACGCCCAACTAATTTTTTTTTTTTTTTGTATTTTTAGTAGAGACAGGGTTTCACTGTGTTAGCCAGGATGGTCTTGATCACCTGACTTCGTGATCAGTTCTCCTCTGCCTCCCAAAGTGCTGGGATTACAGCCGTGAGAAGAAATAATGTGTTAATTTGGTTTGAGGATAGATTTCTTTATTGGGACACAGAAAGCATTAAATATAAGGGAAATATATATCTATATTTAACTAAATCAAAATTTCAAATTTATTTTTATTTAAAAATATCATTCAAAAAGTTAAAATATGCCTGTAATCCCAGCACTTTGGGAGGCCGAGGCGGGCAGATCACGAGGTCAGGAAATCGAGACCATTCTGGCTAACATGGTGAAACCCCGTCTCTACTAAAAATACAAAAAATTAGCCAGGCATGGTGACGGGCGCCTATAGTCCCAGCTACTAGGGAGGCTGAGGCAGGAGAGTGGCGTGAACCCGGGAGACGGAGCTTGCAGTGAGCCAAGATCCTGCCACTGCACTCCAGCCTGGGCAACACAGCGAGACTCCGTCTCAGAAAAAAAAAAAAAGTTAAAATGTAAGACACAGAATACAAAATTTGCAACACATTATTAACAAAGAGCTTTTATTAAGACAATATTTGAAAAAAAAAAACCCTGCAAATCAATAATAAAAAGAGAGAAAACTATTTGGAAACATATAGGCAAAAAGTAATACAATTTCTTTGTTAAAAAATCTTGTGAAAATGATCAATAACATTACAAAAGAATATTCAAAATTATTAGCTCAGGAAATGCAAATCATTGTAAACTTAGAGGAATAGGTATGCCATATTAAATTGTATTGCGCTGCCTAACATTGTATCGTATTACATATATGATATTAATAATTATATTTTATTTGTTATAAATATAATTGAATATTATTTATAAGTTTATGCAATGATGTTGAGTAAGTTTAACTCTTGTTCATAAGTGAATGTGTAATTATGTAAAATTTGGACAGAAACATATTGATAGTATTATTAAAATGTATTACAAATTTTTACATCACCTACACCAATATATATTTATAAAAGTGTTAATAGTTGTTCATAGTCAATAATGTGAGAAATAGCCCAAGCTCCCATTAACGGTGGAGTGAAAATATACTAAATTGTCATATAAATTAATGAACAACAGCTACAGAAGACAATTGTAGAAAATTTTACCAACACAATATTGAAATAAGTACATAGTCTTTGGCACCTTTTATATTAATCTTTAAAAAGTCAAAATTAAACTAACATGTTGAGTATTGAGATAGTGTTTCCCTTTCTGTTAAGAAGAGACGGAAGAATAATGGGATGTATGGGTGTATTTTCAACTTGTGCTGGTTATATTCGTCTTATGAAATACATCATTTGCTTTTTACTATAGCTCAATATAGCATTTGTTTGGTACTTCTTAATGTTTATTTCAGTCAAATTCAGAGGTAGGGAAAGAGTGGGAGTGAAAGGAGGAGGGAAGGAGAGAGAAAGCTCTTTATATTCAGTGAAATGTTATGTTTGATATGAAAATAAGATGTAACTGGTTTTTAGTTAATTCAAATGTAATCAGTTAATTTTAATATTGAAATCAGTCTTAGTCCTATAAGATTTGAAGTGTTATTTGGTTGTTTGTCTTAAATGCACATAAAAGGTAATACATTATTTTTATCTATATGCAGTCTTTATTTGTTCTAACTTTCCCTGATTTAATAATGAAGCTCTTAAAAATTACATATTATTGATACAATTATTTCTGGTTTTGATAGCGAAAATTTGGATAGATGCTATTTTTATATAAATAATGAAAATTAATATATTAAAACAAAATAATGACTAAAGTAAAATTAGTAATAATCTCAAAGAAAATTTTCACAATTGCTTCATTTCAATAACTCAAATAATTTACTTGTAAGACATTTAAACAGGTTTTGATTCCAGATAGAATTATAGTTACATTATATTGAATAAATACATTTTGTTTTGTTTTGAGACAGAGTCTTGCTCTGTTGCCCAGACTGGAATGCAGTGGTATGATCACGGCTCACTGCAAGCTCCACCTCCTGGGTTCACGCCATTCTCCTGCCTCAGCCTCCCGAGTAGCTGGGACTACAGGCGCCCGCCACCACACCCGGCTAATTTCTGTATGTTTAGTAGAGATGGGGTTTCATCTTGTTAGCCAGGATTGTCTCGATCTCCTGACCTTGTGATCCACCCACCCTGGCCTCCCAAAGTGCTGGGATTACAGGCGTGAGCCACCACGCCTGGTCGAATAAATAAGTTTTTTAAGTAACACATAACAACTTTAAGTAACTTTATATTTTTGTGGAATACATTAAAGTGCTTTAAAATAAGGCTGTTGCTTTTTATACCCATAATATTTCTTTCTTTGGGTTGTATCATATTCATGGCTATTTTTCCCTTAAGTAAAACATGTGAAGGGGTTCTGAAAGCCATTTCAGTAAAGTGGCTCTAGCATCCTTATTATCTACTGGTAATTTCCATTACTTTATATTTAAGGTTATCACTTGAAGTACCCAAACTACTATCAGAAATAAACTAAAAGAGGAAGAAAACCGATTTCTTTTATTATTATTATTATTATTTTAAGTTCCGGGTTACATGTGCAGGATGTGAATGTTTGTTACACAGATAAATGTGTGCCATGGTGGTTTGCTGCACCTATCAACCCATCACCTAGGTATTAAGCCCAGCATGCATCAGCTATTTTTCCTGATGTTTTCACACCTCTCACTCCACCCTCTCCTGACAGGCCCCAGTGTGTGTTGTTCCCCTCCCTGTGTCCATGTGTTCTCATTGTTCAACTCCCATCAATAAGTCAGAATTTCATCTGTGTAAGATGAGAAGAAAAGATGTGAAAGTAAAATTGTGTTCCATTATAGTAGAGAACACCTAAACAGTTGGAAAGAGGTAATCCTGCATTTGTTGTGTATATCAGAAATCACTTTCGGAAGCATTATTAGCAAAATTTAGCTCTCAAGATGTCTGGTAAAAGCCAAAATTTTGCTAGAAGCCATGTAATTAATGAATTATTTTGCATTGGTTTCAACTTTCTAAAACTGTAAATAAATGGACAGAAGGAACTGTTTAATTCTGGCTAGCTAGAAGAAATGCAAATGAAAGTGGTAATATCTCTCGGGCAAAGATATCTGTTTGGTTAGAATGTAGAGATAGAGTTAGAATTGATGTTTAAAATTATACTTTGGAGATGCATTTATATTTCTATTTTAGATGATTTTATGTTTGTGGGCTTCATATAACCAACATGGCCTTTTCTTCAGAGGGTAAATAAAGTGAATTTGTCACTTTAATGCCCAAATCTTTATTTCTAATTTGTTAAAGAAAATCTATAATGGATAAGATGAAGATGCTAATTTTTATTTTGTTTCATTCTAAATTTCTCTTTCTTTTTATGTATTTAGTCTTATGGAAATTCTACTGAGTCCTTTCTTTTATGCTAAAATTAAAAATGATGTCCTTTGCTTATATCTGTCCTTGAGTGTATTGTTATTGCTTTTTACATGAGCCCTCAAGGTCATCCTTATGTGCATTCTTGTTTTTTTTTTGTTTTTTTTTTTTAATTTTTATTTTAGTTTCAGGGGATACATGTGCAGGTTTGTCACATGGGTAAATTGCATGTCAGTTAGGTTTAGCATGAGAATGAACCTGTCACCCAGAGAGTGAGTATAGTACTCAACAGATAGTTCTTAACCCTCACTCCGCTCCCATCCTCCCACCTCCAGTAGTCCCCCGTGTCTATTGTTTCCATCTTTATATACATGTGTACTCAGTATGTAGCTTCTACTTATAGGTGAGAACATGCAGTATTTGGTTTTTCATTCTTGCCATCATTTGCTTATGATAATGACCTCCAGCTGCATCTATTATGCTGCAAAGGATGTTATTTCATTCTTTTTAATGGCTGCATAGTATTCCATGGTGTATATGTACCACATTTTCTTTAACTAGTCCACTGTTGATGGACATCTAAGTTGATTCCATGTCTTTGCTACTCTGAATAGTGTCTGAGAGAACTATTTATGCAAACATTATATTTAAGATACATCAGGTAAGTTTTTGTTTAATATAGGGTATAAGAACATCAACTTGAAGCTAGACTCTGGGGTTATAATTCTGGATCCACCCCTACTTGCTAAGTTATTTGGGGGTAAAGTATTGAGCTCCTTTGCCTTACAGACTTTATATACAGGCTGGAAGTGGTGGGAATCCCTTGAGGCCAAGAGTTCTAGACCAGCCTGGGCAACTTATAGAGACCCTGTCTTTACAAAAAATAAGAATTAGCAAGACATGGTGGAATGTACCTCCAGTCCTAGCTACTTGGGAGGCTAAGGTGGGAAGGTCACTTGAGCTCAAGAGTATAAGGATGTACGGAGCTAGAATGCATCACTGCACTCTAGGGACAGCAACATGTGACCCTGTTTCTAAATAAATAACTAAAATAAAAGAGACTTTATCTGTACATGAAGTTATAGGATGATAATTAAATAAGCCAATCCATGGAAAACTCTTCACAGGAGTAAAAATATATGAATTATTAGTAAATGATAGATATTATTATTTTTATATTTACTCATGTTTTTGTCTGTCTCTATGCATTGTTGGTTACCTTTCTAACCTAGGCTTTACAGCCTGTCACTGTGTTATGCTTCATGCTCATTTCTAGCAATAAACTCATTTATTCTCTCTGGACTATTGTAATAATATTCCACATATTTGCCCTCTCTATGATCAGTGATGTAATTTAATACTATATAAATGTTAAAATATATTTAAAATTTTGAGACCTAATAATATGCTATACTTAATTGTTACAAACAAAAGGGTAAGAACTACTGATGAAGAGAAAAGGACTAAGTTCTGGAAATCATCAAAACATGAGCCGAATCTATGCTTCTCCCTAAACCACAACAAAACCTACTATCTATGTACTCGTGAACAGATTATTTAAATGTTTTTGAAATCTCAATTATAGGCCTGTGATGAGCACTAAGTAAAACACTGGTGAAAATTCCTACACATTCCATAGCATGAAGTACAAGTAAAATGACATTTCTTTAATTTTATTCATTTTGTTTCTGCAGTGTTATTTTATCAAGGCCTAGGCTGTGTTTTATTAAATCTTTGCATTCATATCATGTATAGTTCACCATAAACTTTATAGTATATTGTAGCTCTCCAATTAACATTTGTTTAAGTGAACTGATTGTAAAATTATGATTGTGGAGAGTTACAAAAGTTATTAATATAGAAATAAAATGTATGGCAAATAATCATGTTACTTAAAATACATATTTATGGAATTTTAATTTTAATTCATTAAATAACAATGAATATTGTATTGGCTTTATGCAAGCATAAATATTTTTCTTCTTTATTTGCATAGGCACTTATTACTTTCTAGCTGCTTATGGAGTTCCAGTGGGAAAGAAATGGGATTTTCCATGTGCATTTGTCACAGATATTGAAAACAGGTGCAAACCTCACCTGAGCACTCACACTATTCGAACTTCCAGATTGACTCAGACAATTAACATTATATACTCATACTCTTTGCAGGAATCTATCTTTGTGGCTAGTCTAAGTCTAAGACAAATATGTTTGTCTGCTTGAGGAAGTCAACTGGAAATTCTCAACCCTCTTTTCCTGAGCTGCTGGCAGTTTGCTTAATGAAAACTGTATATGAAAAGCAAATCTATGCCTCACAAGAGAATCATATAGTAGGCTCGAAAAGAAATGAAATTGTCCCAATTTGCTGACTTTCCTATTGCAGCATATATGCTAAAAATTAAAAAGATGTATGTAAAGGTTTGTAGTATATTATCACTATTATCAAAATAACTTTCTATGAACAAGCATGTACTGTAACATCAGTTTTTATTGTTCAGAATTCCTGGTTCCTCAAAACGGAATCCTCTCTGAGTTACTTAACCAGAAATGTAATTCATTTAAGCTTCATTGGAAACTTAAAAAATCTCTGCTAAAGCCAAAGAGCCAGGCAGAGGCAGCAACAATGCCCTACACATCATAGGGATTTTTCTATGTTGAAATGATAGCCATTATTTGTTGACTTCTAAGGCATTCAACAATTGGTAACAGCAATTCTGCCATTGCTACCCCCAAGAAACAGAGCACCCTTATCAGAGTGGTTGACAAAAAACTGATCTTCTGTTAGATGTTGATCACTGCTATATCCAAGACTTGCTTGGTTGCATTTCACTGGAGAAACTTGAATTAAATGCTTGTAGTCTACTTAGAAGGAGTCTTGAACATGGATGCTTTCTGGATTCTGTTTGAGGAGGTAGAACTTACGGTGTGGGAAATTATCAAGGTATAGAAAGAGAATGCAAAACAAATTGGGTAGCTTTAAGTAACAGATGGCATCAACAGGGTAGAAAATAATATTATATAGGGATGGATTTGATTTTCAGGAGAGCACGCTTTTTTTAAAAAAACAATGAATGATTCTTTAGAACACTCAGAGATTTACTTTAATTCTATATCTAGCTATTAAATGATTACATATTTATCAATTGTGTCGTTGTAATAGGTACTAGTGCCACAAAGATTATAGATACCCTTCTGAACAATATACCATAGGGAATAGATAAATGATTTTATGCTTACAAAATAAGACAAGTCTCTAATGGCAGTATATACATGAAAAATCAGAGGAGAAATTTCTC
This sequence comes from Homo sapiens, assembly GCF_000001405.40. NCBI lineage: Eukaryota > Metazoa > Chordata > Mammalia > Primates > Hominidae > Homo > Homo sapiens. Next base: position 83,129,707 of record NC_000013.11, on the reverse strand, counting down.
AGGTCTTCTTGGAATGCTAGAATTATTTTCAAAAAATTAATATTTGCAAACCTGGGTTCTTTTGACAATAAAAAAGGAACTGTCCTCTGTTGACAAAGGGACAAAAAGTATGTTTTATTCAAGAGAAACATCATGCAGTTGAAATTAGAAAGTATCTAATTATGCCAGAAGTTCAGCATTCCTGCAGTACATATGCATTTGGGCATGTTACATGATCTCAGGCTAGAAAGATAATGCCACTTGATCCTGAGCTGCATTTTACATGATGAAGATCAATATGCCAAATATTTTGAGATCTTAATAAAATTAAAATCAACTCAGTAACATTATGAATGAGAATTATTGAACAATTAATTTACTAGGTATTAGTAAATTAGTCAATCAAATATGATTTTAATGCATATATAATTCAATAAGTATACATACATAGAGTTCATTCAGGAAATTAGAAGTTCAAATTGTGACATCATCAACTAATAGCTGCATGATTAAAGACTGGTTAAATTCAGTAAAATTACATTTTTTCACCTTTAGAAATGGAATAATAACACTTCTACCCCAGGACAGTGTCTGGCTTTAATAGAAACAATTCAGTGAAATTAACTAAGACCTGATCCCTTTCTACATGAGCTCTTCAATCTTTAGACCACTGCAGTCTGGATGCAGTCCTATTAAATATATTCTTATCAAGGATACCAGTAACTCCAAAATGATGACAGAAATGTTCATCTATGCACTTCCAAGTTGTACATTCTGTCAAGCTGTGTATTTTTGCAGTAATGTCATGTTTGAAATCAGTTCAAATAGTGTGTGTTTCTCTCCTCTTCCATCTTACTGGTCTGTCTCTATGTTCAGGAGATGCCTAGTTGGCTTTTTTGTAATGAAAAAATGATAGAAGATGTTTGGTCCCATACTGACTTTACGTATGCGTTGGTTTCTCTGACATAGTACCCCCTCTGTCTGAGCCCTGCATATATCATACAATCACAAGATCTAGAGTTTTTCTATCCGAAAGCTGGAGAATTACACCACTTTCTCTGTGATGAGTATGAGATCCCTCAGACCTGCTGGACAGTTTTTTGTTTGTTTGCCAATCCCTGTGCCTTTTTTGGGTGCAGAAAACTTGGCTTTTTAATTTAACACCATCCTGGGTGGAAAGACGTGAAGTGTTTTTTCAGGCATGTCTACTATTGCAGTTTGCATGGCCTCTGACACATCACATTCTCAGTGCTTGTCAGTCCCTTGCTCTATCTCAGCTTTGGAGGCAACACTCTTTTTCATCTTAAGGAGAATCAAACAAGCAGGTGAGATCCTAACCAACAGGCAAAATTCTAACCACAAAATCCCCAAGTGTATCCAGATTCAGATCTTTCAAAGTTTTTCCTTCTCTCAATTTCATTTCCAGCCAAGTAATATCGCTTCCCACTTGTTTCTCTTTCCCAAGGTGATTACAGAAATCATAGAAAAATGTCTCCAATTTTAGCTCCAAAGGCTCAGCTGCAGTCTCAAACCACAACCTAAAGAAGATAAACCCAATAAATCAGAATAATTTTTCTTATGGTTGGTAATTAACCAGCACAAACGTATTTTGGATTCATATTGTTTTCTGAAATCGGCATATATTAAATTGTTTTCTTTTCTCTGTAAGGGAGATCTCTCTCTCTCTCTTTCTCTCTCTCTCTCTCTCCACCCCATCTCTGTGTGTGTGTGTGCGTGTGCATGTGTGTATATATGTGTGTGTGTGTGTGTGTGTGTGTGTGTGTGTTTGGATAGATAGCTAGATGAACAGATAGACACATAAACAGATACCAGTTAGGTTGGTCTCGTCAGTAAAGCCAATTTGGCTTCTGCTACTGATGGGATGATGGTGGGGGCTATTTATTCAAATGTAGATATGGTAGAAAAAATATTTAAGGTATTATAAAAAAAGCACAGCTACAAAAAATGGAAGATGAGTGACCCCAAAGTAGGAGAATTACCTATGCAAAATAATGCTTCATACAGATTCAACCATGTCAAAAACAGCTGAGTACAAGAAAATTGATTGGTGAAACCTGATTATTTTTAAAGTTATTAATAATTTTAGCAGAATTGATTGAATGGAATTGTAAGGGTCAAAGCCATGTTTCAATAAATTTTGTAATGGGCCCAAAGTGGAATAAAAGTTCACAAAGAATGGTGATGAATGGGTATAAAGAAAGATAATTAACTACAGGGTAAGAAGGGATAAAGACAAAGTTACTATGTTTATCATGTGTTCAAATGACACTGGTAAGGACAAACTTATCAAAAGAAATTGGAAAACCAGGAAAAAGGGACATCAGTGAAGTTCAGGACTTTGGAACACCTAAAGTGTTAAGAATTGGGTTTAGTTTGGATGAGGGAGAACACTTGCATAATGATGAAATAGAAAAATAAACTTTAAAGAATGGATATATATATATAGGGGTAAAACTGGTATACATATATACATACACACATATACATACACACATACACACATAACACACATATATACACACACATACATTGTACATATATATATACTAAGAGAGATACATCTGTATGTCTCTATCTGTATATATACACTGTGTATATACTCAGTGTATATATATGTTTGTACACAGTGTATATGTATGTATATATACATATATTTACATCTCTCTTAGTATGTGTATATGTATATAGTATACACACTCAGAGACAGATGTGAATATATGTATATATATACAAAAAGAGAGAGACGTATATATGTACTCTCTCTGTGTGTGTATAATATACATACATATATTATACACACAGAGATATGTATATCTATGTGCATATATATACACACTGAGACAGAGAGAGAGATTCAGAGAGAGAGAGAGAGAGAAATCCACAATATTCTAATTTATTTTGTCATCCAATACAGAGGGTTAATTGTTAGAAATCTAATTGTGGTGTATTATTTTACGTCTTTGTTCAGGAACATAGGTCATAGCCGCTTTGTCTTGCAATTTGTATATTGCAGTACATATCTTTTAATCTCATCTGTAAAATTATGATAGCAGAGATATATCATCACATTTATTTCCTGTCCCTAAAAGCAGGACCAATGTCTGATCCAGAGTAGGTGCACAATCATTGCTATTGGCCGTAAAGGTTTGTAATGTAGTCTTTCATGGATGCATCAGCTACAGTTACTTTCCTCTATACCATTCAGAATATGACTTTTCAGATTATTTTTAATACAGATTTCAATTAAAAAAGGAGAAAATTGTAAGCCTTCAATTACTGGGCAAAGTGATCCTGGGAAAACAAATTCATTAAGACTCAATGTCTGTTCTCTGATTTTTGTTTCCATTTTTTAAGTCCTATCTCAACACCTAATTCTATTATAATGACTTTTGTGATTAATCTAGTTGAAGCCATTTTTCCATTAGATCACATTTAACTTTTTATACTAATTGCATGTCACTTACTTTTCTTTCTCAACTATTTTTATTATATTTTTATTTTTATTATAAATTTAATTTATTGGCAAAGTTAAATTACATATATAATGCACAAATACAAATATATATTTAGATCTCTGCATGTGTTCCTGTGCTCCTTGTTATTGTTTAGTATTTCATAATATATATGTAACAAAGATGGCTTAATCATGTCACCTGTTGAAGGACATCTGAACGGATTCCAATTCTTTGCTATTATAAATACAGCTGCCATGAACATTGTGTTTGTTTATTTCTCTGGGATAGATGCCTAAGGGTGCAATTTCTGGGTCATATGGTAATTGCATGTTTATTCTGATAAGAAATTGCCAAATTGTTTCTCAGAGTGTCTGTACCATTTTACATTTCCACCAGTAAAGTATTAGAGATCCAGCTTCTCCCTTCTTGCCTTGAATTTGCTGCTGTCACTAATTTTTAAAATGTATTAATTTAATTGAGAAATAAAAACTTAAATATGATATGCATCATATTTTATTTTCTCATCTTAATAGGTAGGTAGTGAATTTCGCTTTGCTTTTCCTTTATTTTACCTAATGCTGATGTTAATTACTTTCTCATTGCTTATTTTTTTACCTGTATGTCCTATTCACTGAAATGTCTGTTAATATATTTTCAATGTATTGTAGCTGTTTTGAGATTTAAGAATTCCTCATATATTCTAGATACCATTCATTTTTGGATAAGTGGTTTGAGGCTGTTTTCTTCAAGTTTGTAGCCAATCTTTCAATGTCTTTACATGGGCATTCAAAAAACAATTTTATCCTGTTTTAATTTTGATAAGGTACAAATTATCAGGATTTTCATTCATGTATTGTGTTTTAGTGCCAAGTCTAGGAACACTGTGCCTATGGAACATTTTGTACTATGTTTTTTTTTTATTACAGTTTATGTTTTACATTTAAGTCCATAATCTATCCTTAGCTATCTTTTATATGAAGTGTGAAATTTTCATTGATGTCAAGTTTTTTTATGTGAATATCAAATTGTTTAGAAATATTTGTTAAGAAGCGTATTCTTCTTTTATCAAATTTGGTGGACATATTTGTCAAAGATCAATCTTTATGAGTTTTCTGATTCTGTTTGCCAATATATTGTTGAGTGTTTTGTTTGTTTTTAGCATATAATTTTATAAAGCATATTAGCCTATAGTTTTTATTTTTTATATTCTCATCACATTTTGATATCAGCACAATACTCAAAAAATGAATAGGAAAGTGTTTCATCCTCTTTTATTTGGAGAAAAAGATGTGTAAAGTTTATGTTAATTATGTAAATGATTGATGGAATTCTCCAGTAAAACCATCTGGGCCTAGAGATTTCCAGGCACTTGTTTAATTTTTATCATAGTGTTGTTTGTTCTTTTCTTCTTAAAATAAACTTTTAAAATTTAGAACAGTTTAGGTTTACAAAGAAATTGTACACACTCAACAAAGTACAAAGAGTTTGCCACAGTTTCTTCTATGATTAACATTATTATGGTATACTTGTCAAAATTAGCAAGCCAATACTTATACATTATTAAATTTCACACTTTCCTAAAATTTTCCTAGTTTTTGCCTAATATCCATTCTCTATTCTAGGATGGCATACTGTATACTAGATTACATTTACTCATCATGCCTCCTTAGGTTCCTCTTAGCTGAACCATTTCTCAGATGTTCCTAATTTGTGATATCCTTGAAACTTTTGAGGACTGCTACTTAGATATTTTGTAAAATGTCCTTATTTGGGATTTATCTTTTGTTCGTTCTCATGATTTGGCCATTGTTATTTGTTTTGGGGAGGAAGATAGTGGCAAAATGCCATTCTCATCACATCATATCAAAAATATTAATACATTATATCACCATTGCATGTCACCTGTGGTAGACAGAATAATGGAATCCAGATAAGTCTGCATGTTAATCTCCTGAATCATGACTATATTTTCTTTCTTGGAAAAGTAGACTTTGCAAATATAATTGAGTTAAATATCTTAAAAGAGGGTGATTTTCCTGGATTATCCAGATAGGTTTACTATAATCACAAGGTCTTTAGAAGATGTAATTGGGGTCAGAGGAGTCAGAGGAGCTATGATGAAGGAAGCAGAGTTTTGAACCATGAGACTGCTGGCTTTGAAGATGCAATGGGGCCATGAACCAATGAATGAGGGAAGCCTCTAGAAGTTAGAAAAAGCACTAGAGTTTCCAGAAGGCATTCAGCGCTGCCAACAACTCGATTTTTATCCCTGTAAGACACATTTTGGAATTCAGATTTTCAGAATGGTAAAATCATAAATTTGTGTTGTTTGAAGCAACAGCACAACAGTTTGGGTCTCCATGGATACACCTGCATTAAGTCCAAATCTCTTCTGACCTAATTATGACAGTAAACTGGTGAGTTTAGATAAACCCTGTGGCAGTAGAGTAAACGTAAATTGGCCTCTGTCACACATAAAACTGCTGTTGGTACTTTTCAAGGATTGAGACATAGAAGAAAGCATTTGTGAGATCAGTCACTAAGCACCAGTCTTTTTTAACATTTTGTAGTTATTGCATTATGGAAACCATGTCTGGGACTGATGAGGCTATGTCAGGTGCAACTTAATTTAAGCCTCACTAGCCTGTTAGTCTCCATGAGACATTCATTTTTTTTTATAGGCCATACAAGGGCTATTATACAGAAAATGTGTTGTTACCAGCATTTCGGCTTCTAGCATGTTGTATTAGTCAGGGTTCACTAGAGAACTCTGTATAGATATATAATGTATACATAGATACGTAAGAGTGGATTTACTATGAGAATTGACTTGTGTAGTTATGGAGCCTGAGAAGGCCCACAGGATGCTATCTGCAAACTAGAGAGCCAGGAAAGTTGATGGTGTGGTTCAGTCTGTGTCGAAAGGCCTTAGAACCAGAGAAGATCTCATATCTGAGGGCAGCAGAAAATACAATTTCCCAGCTCCATAAAGAAAGCACATTTACCCTCTCTCTTACTTTTTGTTTTATCCAGGCCCTCAGGGAATTGAATGATTTGAATGATGCTTGCTCACATTGGTGAGAGCAGATTTTCTTTTTCTTTTCCTTTTTTTTTTTTTTTTTGTTTGAGATGGAGTCTCGCCTTGTCACCCAGACTGGAGTGCAGTGGCATGATCTCGGCTCACTGCAACCTCCGCCTCCCGGGTTCACGCCATTCTCCTGCCTCAGCCTCCTGAGTAGCTGGGGACTACAGGCACCTGCCACGATGCCCTGCTAATTTTTGTATGTTTAGTAGAGACGGGGTTTCACCATGTTAGTCAGGATGGTCTCGATCTCCTGACCTCGTGATCTGCCTGCCTGGGCCTCCCAAAGTGCTGGGATTACAGGCGTGAGCCACCGCACCCGGCCAATTTTCTTTATTCAGTAACTGATTGAAAAGCTAATTTCTTCCAGAAATACACTCACAGACGCACATAGAAATAACATTTTACCAGGGCTTAGGTATTCCTCAACCTAGTCAAGTTGCACATAAAAGTAACCATCACTCATATCATTAATTAAAATGGTATCTAGGTATTCTATATAGTTTTAAATTAACAATTTCTATGGGCTCAGGCAGTTCTACTGGTTCCTGGATAGCTTATTCAATTAAAACTAGTCTGAGAGAGGATTTTCGCACTTTCTATTTTACAGTATTAGGTGGGAAAAGAAATACCAAGTGAAACATAATATCTATTTCAATAGTACGTTCAGGCAAAGGATATGTGACAAAAACTCACAATTTTTATCTAACCTTTTTCTCTAATCTCATTAATCATTGCATCACCATAGCTTCCCAATCTAACCTTAGTCACCATTAAAACTTCACTAGCAGTTTTCAGAATCACAGTGCATTTGGCTCTGGGAAGTAAATGTTAGTTGCCCATAAGCAACCCAGTCTAAGGTATTCAGTTACAGCAACCCAAATGCAGCAAGGCAGTGAGGAACAGGCATATTCAGTGGGTGAACATCCCAGCCGTTTTGAAGCCAGTCCCACTTAGCTTGCATAGAAAGTATACTAACTGCTTTATCTGCAGTGTCTCACATGACATTTACAGATGAAGTTGGGAAGTCCCTTTTATATGATCCACTCGGCTGGCTTGGCTGTTCCCTTGGGAATAACTTCCTGTGTGTCTGGATCACACAGAGCTATGTGTAATTATGCTAGCGAACTGCAGGTCTTGTGTCAGCCCAGATATGCTCTTCCACTCTGCAGCATTTGAAATAAAATACACTACTTCCAAATTAGTCACTCTTAAAATCGATTTCAGTAAAGGTTCTTCAGGAAGCTGATGATACTGACCTACAATATGGGACAACTCTTTTAACTGGTTTCAGTAGTTTCTTAGTTTAGATTTTCCCTCCCTTCATGTGGATCATCTTCTTGATCACTAGAAGCCTTAGAGGTACTTTCTGTTGTTATGGCATAAATTCTCCTTTTGTAGGCAGCTTTAATGCTACTGGCCGAAGCTCAGACTAACAGAGTCTAAGCTCCGTTGAGCATCAAGGCCTGACCCAACATCTTCTTTCATTTTAGCCATTACAAAAAACAATAACCAAGGGATTGTATGTTTAGCATGTTTCTTATTATTTTGCATTTCCTTAGTTATCTAATGAGCTGACTTCTTGAGAATTGGGTCTACCACCAATTCTAATTCGTGGTGGTAACTTTTACCTTTAGTAACTCATGACAGCACAGCTGCAGTTTCATACCACAGGTGACTAAGTATCCATCCAGAGATCAAAGTTCCTCAGCTCTCTAACTTTTCATTCTTTCTCTTCACAAATTATGTCACAGGCTGTGTTACCACATCTCACTTCTCTGACACTAAGAGAAAAGCCATTTCTCTACTCGAAACCCTTCTGACATCAAATGTGTAGGTTTTCCACACCAAGCTGTGCTCCAGTTTTCTGTACACATCAACTGGATTTTCTACAGCTTAATTCAACTGAGACACTAACTACTCAGAGTTAACACAGAATCCACAGATTAAGGGCTCAGTCATACAAAACAACCCCCACTTCAAATGCCAATCACAAGTCTAGACCTCTTGTATTTCTGACAGACTGACAAGTGGAGAGATCCCGTGACTTCCTTCTTGGTTCTATAGCTTGCTAGAATAGCTCACAGCATTCAGGGATTACAAGTTACTTTCTATTAATGGTTTCTTATAAAGGATATTATAAAGCATACAAATGAATAGCCAGATGAGGAGGTACGTAGGGCAAGGTCCAGAAGGATCCCAAGTGGAGGAGATTCTGTCTCTTGGTGTTGGGTTTCACCACCCTCCCTTCACATGAATGTGTTCACCAATCTGGAAGGTGTCAGAACACCAGAGTTTAGGCTCTTCATGCAGGCTTCATCATATATGCACTATTGATAATCAATTCAATCTTCAGCCTCACTGGATAGGGACTGGGGGTAACTGAAAGTGCCAAGCTTCTAATCATGGCTTGGTCATTCTACTGACCAGCCTCCATTGAAAAACTGTCCAGAAGCTCACCAAGAGAAACCCCATTAAACAAGACACTCCTATCACCTTGAATTCCAAGGGATTTAGAAGCTCTGTGTCAGGGACTGGGAGTAGAGACTAAACACATGTGTTTCTAAACAAATTTTGTTGCAATGTAGGATCGAAATTGCCTTCTTTGAGAAGTAAGACCCAAGATGCCCTGTCTCTGTGCTTTTTGTCCAGTCCTGAGATCCCAAATCAGCTTGCCTTTTTCTTACCACATTTCAGAGTCCTCTTTTGATTATCTCTTGTACCATTTCCAGGGATGATCATGGTGGTTAGTGAGGAGAAGCCAGGAAAAAACTGTTTCATGTCACCTCGTTTGAATCAGAAATTACCCAAGTTGCCTTTTTTCTCTTTAAGTAGAAAAAAATTAGTTTTTACAAAAATCTACTAATGTTCCCAAAATGTATAATATACCATCTGTACAACATACCACAATGTACTACTTTTAGGAAAACTCATTCAATTTCTTATGAAAAATGTAAAAAAATTCAATGTCTACTAAATTATGAATCACATTTGATATTTCAAATGCACAACTCTGGAGCTTGAAGCTGTTTTACAATATTGGTATCACTTTCAACTTAAGAATTCATCCTGTGATTAAAGTTACATCATATAAGCCAAGTGTAAAACTACTATGAAAAGACAAAATATATATACATATGTATATATGTATGTCTATGTAATCTATAAAAGCAATTAGCTAATTGAATGAAAAAATAATTGTATCAGAATTTAAGGGACAAACCATTATTGATCTGTAAAGAGGTTGTATGTTTAAATATTGATATTCACTCTATTAAGACATCATATTTTGAAAAAGAGTCATTAACAGTCTCAATTAATATTGAGACTATTTTATATTTTACTTTTGCTTAAGTAAGGCAGTTACTTGAGAACTCAGAGAAAGCTGAGTCCCACTGCTAAATGGAGGTCAAATGTATACAAGAACACTTGGAATTATTTGTTTAATACAAATGAAGGTTTTGAAGTACCTCCTGAAAGTGAGATTATGCTTACTTGAAAGTGAGTTATGCTATTCTGATATATGGAAGAGAAAAAAAGCAGCCATTTATATACACAATTATGTATTTATGTGTGAAATACAAACTTAATGACAGTGACTAATAAATAGTGTTGGTACTTATAAAATAAAATATTTTTCAAGCTCTCAATAATTTTTGGCTGATGATGATAAGACAGAGTGGACTTTGACATGAAAGTGTTCACTTAATAAATACTTACAAAGTCTTCTTTCATTTATTTGTCAATTTAAATTTAGAAAACTTAAAAAAGAAAAATAATTATGTTGACAGAAAGCTCTTATCAGAATTGTCTGCCTTACAAATCTGGAGCCATATATTTAATATTCATGTATTAACTTAGGTTTCAATAGTTCTACTTAAAAATAATTTCAAATATTTATGAATAGATTGATTAATGTGTATTACCTACCAAACATATGGCATTCCCATGAAATAACATTTAATGGAGCTCTTTATTTAAATTTGGAGATGTAGTATTTAACATAAAGTGAGAAGTCAAGTTTTGTATCCAGAAATAACTATTTTTGAATAATTTCTCCCATGTCCAAACCATGTGTATACATATACATGTGTAAAAACTTATAGCAACTATCTGAACTTGATCATGCGAAGTTAGAAGAAAAAAATTCAAAAGCATGGTTTATAGAATTCACACCTTTGAATCACCTGGGAAGTTTTTTGAAATATATATTCTTTAGTAAAATTGGACTTACCATGAAGCTAATAAACTTTAAGCTGTATGGACTCTCACTTGAATGAGTATCTTCCATGGCTCTAAATTTGTATTTGTAAATTTGTGTGATTTTTCTTCTAACAGGGCTCCCAGATTGTATGCATATTAGTCTGCACACAATTTCAAAGCACCCCTGATACTCCTTCCTTAAATGACTTCTTTATTGAAATTTTGACAACTGAGTCCTTAGGATATGCAGTCTCACAAGCTTTGGAATAATTCTCATGAAAAATTAGAAGCCAGTATTTTAAATTTTAGAAGTTTGATTATAGCAAAATTAAATAATGAGAAAGTGAACAGTCCATGATGCTATCATATTATTGTTCAAAGCTCAAACCCACAGTTTTCATAAGAGATTGTACTCTAATCGAAAAGTAATCCTTACAAGGCGTAAAACAGAACTACCCACATCAAATGCGCAGATAATTAGACAATCAAGATACAAACAAACACTGGCACGTGAGGACACAGCAAGAGGCACCATCTTGAAAGTGGAGAGCAAGGCTGTGCCAGACACTGAATCTACTGGCACCTGAACCTTAGACTTTTCAGCTTAAAAACTATGAGAAATAAATTTGTATTATTTGTAAATGACCCAGTCTGAAGTATTTTGTTAGAGCAGCGCTAATGGACTGAGACTCCTGGAAAATGTCAAAAAATAAGATAAGGAATTGTAATGTAAACCAACTATTTAAATAATGATACTTATTTCTCTAACAGTCTTGCTATTTGTTATACATTTACTTTGAAAAACATGTAAATTTCAGTAAGAAAAATTTAAATCAAAAATCTTTATTGAATTATCATGTGATCCACCATCCACTACTGAGTATATATATACCCTAAAGAAATGAAACACGTATGTCGAAGAGATATCTGAACTTCTATGTTCCCTACAGCATTGTTAACAATAGCCAAGATATGAATCAACCTAGATGTCCATAAGTGGATAAAGAAATAAAGAAAACATGATATATACATATACACAAGGGAATACTATTCAGCCATATAGAGAAGGAATTCCTGTCATTTTATTGACAATATAGATGAACCTGGAGGACATTAAGTAAAATAAGCCAGGTTCAGAAAGGTAAATATCATAAAATTTGACTTAGGAGTGGAATCTTAAAATTAAACCTATAGAAACAAAGAACAAAATGGCAGTAACCCAAAGTGAGAGGTAGGGGAGATGTGGATGAAATGATATAAAATTTTGGTTAAACATGAAGAATAAGTTCAAGAGAACTATTGTACCCCATAAGGTAACAGTAGTTTATAAAAGTATATTATATACCTGAATATTGCTAAGATAGTAGATTTTAAGTGTTTTTATCTCAAAAGTGGTAAGATAATGAATAAGCTAATTAGCTTAACTTAGCCACTTCACAATGTGTACATTTATCAAAACATTATGTCATACACCACAAACATATACAATTTTATCAATTTATATATACATATACACACACATATATCTCAAAGTTATTTTTGTTAAAACACATTTGACTATATCAAAGATAAAGCCACCTTTAGAATAAAAGACGCAAGTACTACAGAAAGAGAACACACTCTCCAGGTGAGCTAATAGTAATGGAAAACTCTTTTTAGAGTTGTGAAGCTGGGAAGATGAATGACAGTTTAATGGCATTGGGGACCAGCAGCCTTGACAGAGTCTCCGAGGTCTGTCAATCAGAGATGAGCAGACAGTGTTACGATCTAAGGGCCATGAGAGTAAAGAAAACAAAGTAGAGAGAGTTTTGTCTCAGGAGAAGGACAAAGGCATCTGAAACACACCGATCACTAAAAGAAGTGGCAATAGATGAGTAAAACATTTTCTCATAAAAAATGCAGGAGTAACCTAGTAAGCTATTAACTGAGTAGGTTATTAAATGTTCCCCATTTGTAGAAAGTCATTTACCTCCACAGAAGAAGGTCTATGTTCAAAATTCAGCAGATAGAATTCCAAAGAAGGGAGAAGTGTCTATTCTTATGTGTAAAAGTTATGGGAGGGGTGCTTTTGCATCCACTTTCAAAACAATTATTCCTGTCTTTTGCCGTTTCATATCACTGAGAACAGTGGCTTCGAATGTAGTTAAATTACTAAAGAAAAAACGTGTCTCCACAGCTCAAAGCAAAAATACCTAAACTTTGAAACATGGTCAGTATTCAAATGAAGATACTTTAAATGCTCATTACAATTTTGTTATGGAATCTACCTTTTATTTGAAATGTTTTCTCTGTTTAAAGTTTCATTTAAAATTCTAGATATTTTAGAAATTTGATTTGAGTGCTTTCAATTTTTATCAAAATTGGGCACAGACATGATAGAGTTTAGAGATTTACACAAGCTAGAAGCATTGCCTCTTACTAAATTTCTTCCAAGAAAAACTGTGTTAAAATCTTTTGCTATGTTAAGAACAAAAATGTGTTCTTAACAGCAAAATTTGTGGAGAAAAATTAATTTGCTTTCAGTTATGTACAAGCTCTGTATGGTAATGGAAAACTAAGATCTTACTACTATTTAAATCAATTATATTTGGATTTATGAAAATAGTTTTAAAATAAAATCTAATATTAATAAAAAGTATCTGAAATATTTTTAAAAATATAATATAAAAAGCCTTTGAGATAAATTTGACATATCAATATTAAGACAACAGAAGTCATAAAACTTTAGCAAATACAATTCTTAATTGAAGACTTGGAAAGTAATGAATATATTAGCATTTTAGCTCCTAGAGCTACATTTAAAATTAATCTACTCACAAACAAAAGAGTAAAAATAGTAATGACACATCATTATTTTTCTATTAATAATTTATATCAATATAATCATTATTTTCTTAATCCTGACATGACCCTTTGTCTTAGAATTGACAGACAATATTTAGCCGTGATTCTTAACATTTTGGATAGCCTTATAATGATTGACTTAGTAGTGAAAACAAAATATAAATAATACAGGCTCTGTGTGTTTTCAAGAAAAAACTAGTACTTAAAATCAAACTAAAATGCTTCCGCACAACAAAGGAAGCAAAGAACAGAGTGAAAATGGACCTACAGAATGAATAATTTACATATTCAAGTTTTTTACTGTTTGTCTTTAGCATCTATCTATATCTATCTATCTATCTACCTATCTATCTATCTACTCTATATCTCAGTGTCCAGAATAGTGCCTAGCTCACAGTAGTCTCTCAATAAATATTTTTAATGTAATCATCTGTACAACTAGATTTCATATCTGAAATTTAAAACCTCCTTTATGTTATAGTTCTAAAACACTATTATTAATCATTTACTGGCATAGAAACATGAATCTATTTAAATACTCAGTGATTCACTTTTTTTATTTAAATTTATATATTAATCATATAAATTATTAATTATGACCATCAATAGATATTTATAACAAATAATTACTGATCAACAATTGATTGGTAAAGATGGTCACTATTCATAATTTATTTAAATTTCTTCATAAATCATTTGCTGTAGAGGTAACACTTTCTAAAATATGATTCATTAATTAGAGTCCCATGTATACCATTTTCTAGATGCATTATGTATGAGTTCATCATTCAGTTTCTTTAAAGAGGAGTCAGCCATCTTCTCATCACATCATTTTGCAGTGTTTTCTGCCATGTAGAAATCAGGACTATGGCCTAGTTAGTGTTTTCTCAATATTTTCTGAGCCATATTCTCCAAAGGCTTATTTGGAGGAAACAAAACCAGCATACAACAATCAGTAGTGTTCCTATGCACTAACAGCAAATTATCTGAAAGTTATATTAAGAAAACAATTCTATTTACAATCACAATGAAAATTAAGTGTTTGGGAATAAATTTAACCAAGAAAGTCAAAGATCTGTGTACTGAAAAAAAAACATTCGTCAAAGAAGTTGAGACATAAATAAATGTAAAGATATTATATGTTCATTTATTGAAAGAATTAATGTTAAAATGTTTATACTACCCAAAATGATGAAAAATTCAATACAATTTCTATCAAAATACCAAGATAATCTTCATATAAATATAAGAAGCAATGCTAAAATGTGTATGAAACTGAATAAGACCACAAATACCTAAAGCAATCTTACGCTGAAAGAATAAAGCTAGAGGTATCACACTACCAGGCTTAAAAAGGTGTCATAGGCTATAGTAAGCAAAGCAGAATGACACCAGCATAAAAATAGACACATAGGCCTGTGGAAAAGAATAAGGATCTTAGATATGAATCTACACTTATACAATCAAATGTTATTATTATTATTATTTTTGAGACAGAGTCTTACTCTGTTGCCTAGTCTGGAGTGCAGTGGCATGATCTCGGCTCACTCCAACCTCAGCCCCTCAGGTTGAAGTGATTATCGTGCCTCAGCCTTCCAAGTACCTGGGACTACAGACACATGCCACCACACCTAGCTAATTTTTTTGTACTTTTTTAGTAGAGACGAGGTTTTACCATTTGGTAGAGATGAGGCCAAGCTCATCTCGAACTCCTGACCTCAGGTGATCCACCCACTTCGGCCTCCAAAAGTTCTGGGATTATAGGCATGAACCACTGCACCCCACCCAGTAAATGTTATTGGTAAAACTGGATATCATCATACAGAGGGATAAAATTAGACATGTATTTCATACCATATAAAAAAATCAAATCCGAATAGATGAAAGACAGTATATGCCCTGTACCTATGAAACTACTAAAATAAAACAAGGAAAAATCTCCATGACATTGATCTGGGTAGTGTTTTACTGGATATGTCCCCAAAAGTACAGGCAACAGAAACAAAAATAGACAAATGGGATTACATCATACTAAAAGCTTCTGCATAGCAAACAATTGACAGAGTGAAAAGACAAAGTAAATAGTGGGGGAAAATATACACACATTATTCATCTGATAAGAGGTTAATATGCAAAATACATGAGAGGCTCAAACAACTCACTTGTCAGAAAACAAATAAGCCAATTTAAAAACAGAGAAATGATGTGAATGAAAGATTCTCAGAGTAAGGCACACTAATGATCAGAAGGTACATTAAAAATGCACTAATCAACATCCCTAATAATCAAGGAAATGTAAATTAAAGCCACCATGATATAACATCACACACAGGTTAGAATGGCTATAATCAAATAGGTGAATAAGTATTGGCAGAGATGTACAGAAAAGGGAATCCTTGCAGACTGTTGGTAGAAATGTAAATTAGTATAGCCATTATGAAAAAATGTACGAAGTTTCCTCAAAAAATTAAAAATAGAACTAGCCTATGATCCCATAATCCCACTACTGGGTGTATATCCAAAGGAAATGTAATCAGTGCTTGAAGAGATATTTGCACTCTCATATTCCTCACAGTTCCTCACATTCACAGTTCCTCACATTCAATCCATTCATTGAATGAATGGATAAAGAAAATGTGGTCCATATACACATTGAAATACTCTTTAGCTTTCAGAAATAATTAAATCCTGACATTTGCAACAGCATAGATGAACCTAGGAGACAATATGTAAATTGCAATAAACCAGACACAGAAAGACAAATATCGCATGATATCACTCATATGTGAAATCTAAAAAACTATACTTTAGAGACGTAGAGCAGAATGTTGATTGCCAGGGGCTGGGGTGATTGAGTGAGTGTTTGGGGGCGATGTTGAACAAAGGACACAAAATTTCAGTTAGATACAAGGAAAAAGTTCAAGTGATCTTTTGTACAGCATGGTGACTATAGTTAAAAATATATTTTTGAAAAATGATAAGAGGATGGGTATAAAGGATTCTCACCACAAAAATGATAATTATATGAGAAAATGTATGTTTATTAGCTAGATTTAGTCACTCCACAAT
Source organism: Homo sapiens (assembly GCF_000001405.40). NCBI lineage: Eukaryota > Metazoa > Chordata > Mammalia > Primates > Hominidae > Homo > Homo sapiens. Next base: position 83,113,054 of record NC_000013.11, on the reverse strand, counting down.
AGAAATAGACTTCAAAATAATGTTCTGCATAGTAAATATATACAATTTGATTTGTCAATTATAAAATATGTAAGTAAATAGTCTAGTTAAGCTAGACCCCAAAGGCAGATAATACGTAAAATTATTAGAAACAAATGAGGGTGTTTGCCATGAGGATATTAGATAGGAAAATAAATTCCTACAGATAATAATTCCTTTAATTATTGCCTACAGATAACCTTTAATTTTTTTTTTTTTTGAGACATCTCACTCTGTCACCCAGGCTGGAGTGCAGTGGCGTGATCTCAGTTCACTGCAACCTCTGCCTCCCAGGTTCAAGCGATTCTCCTGCCTTAGCCTCTTTAGTAGCTGAGATTACAGGCACCCACCACCATACCTGGCTAATTTTTATATTTTTAGTAGAGATGGGGTTTCACCATGCTGGCCACACTTGTCTCGAACTCCTGACCTCAAGTGATCCACCCAACTCGGCCTCCAAAAGTGCTGGGATTATAGGCTACTTGTTATTTACTTAATAATAGCATTAAAGTTGCCTGTGTTAGGCATATTTTGGGAAATGAATCATGGTATATTATCTGGTAACTATATATATATATATATTTTTTTTTTCTTATGAAGTAACTTGGAAATTGTTAAACTCTAAAATCCCCAATATTATATAAAATGGAAGAATAGTCTGATTTATGCTCTTCTTTACTTTTCCTTTTGTCCTTCCTATTTACTTCCTATTCATATTATTTGTTGAAATTCTATTTACACAATACATCTTAGTTTAGTCTAAAGCCCTAATAGCAAAGTACTTTAAGTTCAGAGAGATATAAATAAATTACATTATTGACAGTAATTATAATGCTTGGATCAACCAAAAACACTCCTTTCTTATTAATTGTTATTACATACAGTAATGTTTTCTACTGAATTAAATTATTTTATTTATAATAGTATCTAATTAATTAATTCAATCTACAAAATAACTTCTGGTCTCATTGAAGTTTTCACTTAGGCCAATAAATAGTTGTCAGATGGAAGAAAAAATTATAAATCATCTGTATAAACACATACAGAATAGTCACTCAAGATAAGAAAAATTAAGATAGCCATATCATCAATGTATGTTCTGTTTAAAATTGTGCTGTAGATGTCCATTATACATCAAATAGTATTCCAAATAGTCACATTTTATATTAACATTTATATTCAGACTGTAATATTGCAATTAGTTGTCAATTGTTTTGAGTACTTGCTTTGCTTTCTGATAATATTATGATATATGATTGGAAAAATTTGTATCAGCACATGTCTACTTTTAGTTAGATAACCTATTTATGGGTATAGAGTGTTCTTTAGAAGGGCAAAATATTTAATTCACAGAGAATATATTATTTGTTTAAAAATAACCATAGTTATTTAAGTTATCTTCACTTTACAATATGACTTTTTATATCTCCGTTTTGTGTTTTGTTTATCCTATGCTAGTAAACTTTGAACTAGCCAACTGATTATGATCTCATTGGCCTGGATTTTTAACATGTATTGTAATATTACCAGAACCATAATTCTAGCAAATAGAAATATCTCAATAAATGATTGTTGACAAAATATGTTGAATGCATTGATTTTTACTTTCTCCCACTTTTTTCCTATAGCTTTCAACTTCTGTATCTGTCTTCGAAAGAATGCTCTAATTCTTTGTTATCTCCCAAGTTGCTAAGTATTCCAATATATCAATTTGCAGAACAACGAAGTGTGCTATGCAAACTTTCACCACCTAGAACACCACCATTTCCTCAGCAAAATAAAAACATGTTGTAAATTTATCTTGTAAAATATCAACTTTGCCAAATGTCTGTTTTCTCATGAAGAATCAGTGATAAAATGAATTTAATGATGAATCTTTGGAACTTGCGACATAAGACATTTTACTCCATTTCAAATTATATCTAGTACCTACTTTGTCATTCCCCCCAAACAAATATGCCAATGTAGTGAATGTCTTTATATCATAACATAGAGATGTGATTTCAATGTAGTGAGTTTATTTTTATGATTGAATTAGAATAGATTTATTTTCAAGTTCACAAGAAGTCCTGAGTCAATTCTAAGGCCATGAAAACTGTTTAGGCAATCACCACATTAAGATTATAATATTTATTGTTAAGAATGTGTTAATTATCTAAATTTTTATTGCCCTTTTACAAATACATTAACTAAGACAGGCTGCTGAAGTGATGTAGTTAAAAACATGCATAGTTAAAAACAAATCTAAAATAACTTTTTTTTCTGAATTCTGTCTCATTTTCAATTATACTCAGTAAGGTGGGAGTGTATAATTTATGCTTATAGAATTTGATGTAAAAGTAAATGATCAAATTTTTTTAATTCTAGATTTATTAGCTAGTGGTACACCTTTTAAGTGGATTTCAAACCATATTATTTTTTGAAAACGCAGCAGGTATCTGGTTTTCAAAAGTTTGTGAATCCATTCTAATGTAATCATTAATAAGCAAAAAATACATTTTAGAATTCATTTCAACATAACGGTTTGGTAGTAAATGCTTTTTCTCATGAGGACAATTCACTTTCCAGCAACTGTAGAGTGTTAAAAAATTTGAAAGAGAATGCATTTTGTGTTTGTCTTTCACTGTAATGGTGCACTATTCTTACTTGATCACCACTCTAAAAGAGACCGAGGTCAGGGAATTAATTTTATACTTTAGCTTTCAGAGGAATGGCTATAGTTGCCCTGTATACAATACTAGATATAATGCATTTACATATACATTCATCAAAACCTTTAAATAATTAACCAGTACCATCATAACTCATCTCAACATAAAATGAAGATTGTATTATTTACATTTATTTTAAAACTGTTTATATGTTTATTTTAAAACTCTTTTAAATTATATAAAATAGCCTTTATAAGAGAGTTGTCCATCCTCTTATATATAATCTTCTAAAATTTACTTTTTTAAAAAATGTTGTCCTTGACTAAACCTAAATTTTAATTATAGATTACATACAAAAATATAAAAATACTGCTTTAATAGAAGGCATGCTTACTAACATAGAAATAAAACAATATATGCCTAAATTCTTATTAAGTTATTACTAACAATAAATGTCATTTGCAGAACTTAGGAATCAGAAAACCAAAGCATATGAACAGAAAACAAAACCACAAGTGTTCTTGAAAGCATTTTATTCAAAAAAAATCAAAGGATTTTCATGTATTTTAAATGTTTCGTTATTCTTTCTTTATTCTCTAGGTCTTGCATTTTTCTTTCGTCTTAAAGAAATAATGAATTGCTGTGTCATTTCCTTACTTTCTGTTTGTTTGGTTATTATTCTTTGAATAGTGTTATTCATTTAAGTTTGTTATTTTTGTTGCAGCTTGGTTATGTTCTGTTTGCTTTTTGAAAGCAGCAAGTTTCTACTTAAATACCTAAATGCTTAAATATCAAAACCAGTGAAACACATTTTACTGGAACATATATGTTTTGAATACAATTTTGGAATAATCACTTCTTATAAGGTACACCAAAAAGAAAGATGAAGTTTCTTCAACTAATCCAATATTTGAAACTGGGCCTTCATTTTATATCATCCTAAATAATTGCTGCAATTGATTTGTTAACATCAGGAAAAGAAAAACACATTCACATATATATAAGGAAGCACATTTTATGTTTGATTTTTGTACTGGTAAACTCGTTCACACACTTGCAAACAAAGGAGCTGGAAATTCATATTCAAAATAAAATTTATAAAAGTTTATGAACATATCTATCCATGAGTAAATTTAATCTGAAGGTTACAGAAAATTAGGTCTTTCGGTGTTTTCTTAACATTTTATTCTCTTGAAAACAATATTTTTCACATATACTTTGTTACAGTTTGATATAGACAAAAATATGATTGGAAAGCACAATTTAGATGGTTTTCTACTTTATGAAATGATAAGTCATTTTCTAAGCTTATATTTATGCATGTTGAATAAAAAAACTTTTTTCATTTAATTTTAATTTTAGACATTTGCCTTTTCAAGCAGATTTACAATGTGAGGTACTAATTGTCAAATAAAACTCATTTGTTCATGAAAATATCTGAAAAATATGAGTTACTATCTTCTATTTGAAAAATTTTTAACATAGTAGAGGCTTTACAATGGTCCAAAAATGTGATTCCTCGCCATACATAAATATTTGTTTGAATTTAGTAAGTAACCTCAATATGAAATGGTATATCTTAATGTCTTTAAACAATTTTGTTTTCCATTATGTCCTATAAAGAAAGATAAAAATAAAACTAATGAGATAAATTAAATACTAGAATAAGATTTTTTTCAGATGTTTTTGAGTTTTGGAGAACCACAAAATATTGTGTTATGTGATATTTCTGGCCTCCAAGAACCAACTTTTGCCCTTTGGTTTGATACTGCTTTGTTCAGAATTCCTGGTATATTCAGAGTATTACCCTTCACTGTTCTATTTTTCTGTTTTGTGTGTACCATCATCTGAAATTCCATAGAACTTATTTATTTGTTTATTTTATACGTCTTCTTGTTTAATGGTAAACTCTATGAGAACATAGGTTTTTCTATTTTTTAGTTTGTTTTTGATTGCTCATAGTGCCTGGAATATTGCTTGATCCATATGTAGCAGGCGCTCAGTATACATTTATCAAGTCAAGATTTGTTATAAACACTTGAATAAACTTGAATAAGAAGTTATAAACACTTGAATAAACACCTGAATAAGAAGTTTTCCTCAATGATGCATTCAATTCATACTTAACAAATGTCTTAGTCCAGTTTCATGCTGCTGATAAAGACATACCTGAGACTGGGAATAAAAAGAGGTTTAACTGGACTTACAGTTCCACATAGCTGGGGAGGCCTCAGAATCATGGCAGGAGGCAAAGAACACTTCTTAAATGGCAGTGGCAAGAGAAAATGAGGAAAATGCAAAAGCAGAAACCCCTGATGAAACTATCAGATCTTGTGACACTTATTCATTACCACGAGAATAGCATGGGAAAGACCAGCCCCCATGATTCAATTGCCTCCCCCGGGGCCCTCGCACAATATGTGGGAATTCTGGGAGATACAATTCAAGTTGAGATTTGGGTGCAGACAAAGCCAAACCATATCATTGATCCCTGGCCCCTTCAAATTTCACATTCTCACATTTCAAAACCAATCATGCCTTCCTAATAGTCCCCCAAACTCTTAACTCATTTCAGCATTAACCCAAAAGTCCACAGTCCAAAGTCTCATCTGAGACAAGGCAAGTCCCTTCAGCCTATGAGCCTGTCAAATCAAAAGCAAGTTAGTTACTTCCTAGATACAATGGGGGTACAGAAATTGGGTAAAACAGCCATTGCAAATGGGAGAAACTGGCCAAAACAAAGGGGGTACGGGACCCATACAAGTCTGAAATCCAGTGGGGTGGTCAAATTTTAAAGCTCCAAAATGATCTTCTTTGACTTCAGGTCTCACATGCAGGTCATGCTGATGAAAAAGGTGAGTTCCCATGGTCTTGGGCAGCTCCTCCCCTTTGGCTTTGCAGGAAACAGCCTCCCTCCTCACTGCTTTCACAGGCTGGTGTTGAGTGTCTGTGGCTTTTCCAGGCACACAATGCAAGCTGCCAGTGGATCTACCTTTCTGGGATCTGGAGAATGGTGGCCTTCTTCTCACAGCTCCACTAGGCAGTGCCCCATTAGGGACTCTGTGGGAGCTCCGACCCCACATTTCCCTTCTGCACTGCCCTAATAGAGATTCTCCATGAGGGCCCTGCCCCTGCAGCAAACTTTTTTCTAGGCATCCAGGTATTTCCATACATCTTCTGAAATCTAAGCGGAGGTCCCCAAACCTCTATTCTTGACTTCTGTGCACCTGCAGTCTCAATACCACATGGAAGCTGCCAAGGCTTGGGGCTTTCACCCTCTGAAGCCATAGCCTGAACTCTACCTTGGCCCCTTTCAGCCATGGCTGGAGTGGCTGGGACACAGGGCACCAAGTCCTGAGGATGCATAGAGCACAAAGACCCTGGGCCTGGCCCACAAAACCACTTTTTCCTCCTGGGCTCCCAGGCCTGTAATGGGAGGGGCTGCCTTGAAGGTCTGACATGGCCTAGAGACATTTCCCCATGGTCTTGTGGATTAACATTAGACTCCTTGTTACTTAAGCAAATTTCAGCAGCTGGCTTGAATTTATGAATTTATCCTCAAAAAAAAAGGGCTTTTCTTTTCTACTGCATTGCCAGACTGCACATTTTCTGAACTTTCCTGTTCTATTTCCCTTATAAAACTGAATGCCTTTAATAGCACCCAAGTCACCTATTGAATGCTTTGCTGCTTAGAAATTTCTTCCACTAGATACCCTAAATCATCTCTCTCAAGTTCAAAGTTCTAAAAATCTCTAGGGCAGGGGCAAAATGCTGCCAGTCTGTTTGCTAAAACCTAACAAGAGTCACCTTTGCTCCTGTTCCCAACAAATTCCTCATCTCCATCTGAGATTAGCTCAACCTGGACCTTACTGTCAATATCACTATTAGCATTATGAGCAAAGCCATTCAACAAGTCTCTAGGAAGTTCCAAACTTTCCCACATTTTCCTGTCTTCTCCTGAGCCCTCCAAACTGTTCCAACCTCTGCTCCTACCCAGTCCCAAAGTCACTTGCACATTTCAGATATCTTTTCAGCAGTGCCCCCACTCTACTAGTTCCAATTTACTATTAGTTTTCATGCTGCTGATAAAGACATACCTGAGACTGGGAAGAAAAAGAAGTTTAATTGGACTCACAGTTCCACATGGCTGGGGAGACCTCAGATTCATGGCAGGAGATGAAAGGCACTTCTTACATGGTGGTGGCAAGAGAAAATGAAGAATATGCAAAAGTGGAAACCCCTGATAAATCCGTTAGATCTCGTGATACTTATTCACTATCATGGAAATAGCACAGGAAAGACTTGCCTCCGTGATTCAATTACCTCCTTCTAAGTCCCTCCCATAACACATGGGAATTCTGGGAGATAAAATTCAAGTTGAGATTTGGGTGGGGACAAAGTCAAACCATGTCAACAAAGTAGAAGTACTTAACTAAGGGCTTTACTAATAATGGATAATTAAAACTATTCAATATGCAGAAACACTATAATGTCTTATCTACTTCCTAGTGAACTCTAGTTCCTGAAGGAAGAGAGAAAAGAATTGTTAAGCTTTTACTAGAAGATACATTACTTACTTGCTAAAAACAATTTATCATCTATTTATGCATGTATATTGTATATATGTGCTCCTTAAGTAGATTGTGGTCTATCTCAGTTCTGCTATTGACTTTTTATAGAATGCAATAAATCTCCTTCTCTGCTAACAATATCTCTAACCATAATTTAAATCGTCACATGTACTGTATTTTAATTATTAACTTTTAAATGACTTTTAAAAGTTGCACATACTCTAATAAATTAAAATACTTCTGACAAGCATTACATTTATTAAAACATTATATAATGATAAGAAATTTGTAATAAGGGAGAACAATTTATGCATCATATTTCAGTGGGTTAAGCAGTTTTCCTGCTGTGATATAATTTCAGGAGTTCACAAAATCACATTTAAGATATCACGCTAGGATTTAAAACATTATCAGGAGCAAGTTCAGTATTTTTAATTACAATTTTTTTCTACAATGAAAATCATTTGGTTTGAGAATTGTCCGTTATCAATCTTATAATCCAAAACCAGAACATTGATTTCATCTGAAAACTGTGAAAAACTACACCAGAACATCGTACTTATTAAGACTAAGAACAGAGACCACTTTTATCAACATGATTTAGTTTGTTTCCTATGCCCTTTGTCCAGAAAAGATAATACTTTATAAACCTACACCTAACTTTATTTTTTGTTTCAGGCATCTCATGCAGAGTAGTCTGCTGGGCTAGACAAGGAGTTCACTTATTCACACAATAATTTACTTACCAACATTTATTTCAAGACCATCACTACTCTAATCCACCATGCCAAACTAATGTCAAAACTGGCTAACCCTACACTGAAAGATCCAAATTAAACCATTTAAACCTAAATCTCCAAATCCAATAAAAACCTCCCTCTGATTTCCCTTTTTTGAGACACTGCTAAAACTGCCAGGATAATATTCTCCCTTACTGCAATGAATTCTAGGGAAAGCAATCTTGATACTGGTAAATATTTCTATCTCATTATTTTTCTACTCCAAGGCCACCAAAACACTGCTCTAGGTTAATGAAATTCAAAACACTGTTACAGATTAGTGAAATTCAAAACACTGTTACAGTTGAGATTGAAGACTCAGCCAAGCAGCATAGATGAATCTGGGTCTGAGCAATGTGACTTTTTGGATGCTGGGACATGAAGCTTGGCCGAGAAGTTTCATTGGTCACTCTTTTAGTTCATCCATGTTTAGTCTGGAGACTGCTTTCATTTGGGAATTGGTGCTAGGCCTGCTTTTTTCTGTGGCTGGAGCAAGCTCTCAGTCACTAGCTTATGTCTTATTTTGCTAGTTTCTCACTAGGCTAGACTTTCCACATCAATTGAATGGCAAGATGGAAGATGTTGGTTTGGTTTTAGAGGAAAATATGTAAGATACTGTCTGTCTGCCTCCAACTCCACAGCCTATTGACAAGGGAAAAATAGTCCTGATCATGTCATCTAGCTGACATTATATAGGGGATCTCATTGAGGTTGGAATTTACATTCTGTTTTTTTTAAATCTCTTTTTTTGCCATCGCTTCTACCTTTTTTCCTCCTCCTCCTTCTTTTCCTTTCTAATGCTCTTTTACACTTAAGATAAGGGTGGATATTGGAAGACAGTGATCAAAGATTAAAGATGCTTGAACTTGTTATCTCGTCCCTCATTTCTTTGCATTTCTATCCATTGCAATGAAAATTTTAGTCAACCCTTTATCTGAAGTACAAGGTTAACAATAAGCAATTTTTCATGTTCTGTTTACATAAAATATCTTATATAATCAAGCTGGATTCATTCTTGACAGAGCCCTATAAACTATGTACATCAAGCTTTAACAATATTTTGACGTATAAGTACTATGTGAAAGAAACGCATATACTGACAAGATTAATTGAGGTTATTATTTTAAAAGAGGTAATTAAAAGTATTTGAGAATTTCACCCTTAAGTAATATTTAGTCATTGAAAACTTTGATGTTTTGCATAAAAAACCATGCTGATGGGTATCATGCTAAAAAATAGCCTACTTGTTAAACAGATGATTATTACTTGATCTTTTTTAATGTGAACCTTAATTTTCTCCTTTCTATACTTTATTTCCATGTCCAAAATTCTATTTTGTTTCTTCTACTTTAATTAATATGTGCTTATGACTTATTTATTTGATCAAGTTTACTTCATAGCAATTGTTCTAGGAGATAATTTTGCTGAATTGCTTCTCAGTAAATCACAGTCGGTACTTTTAGCAGCAATGTCCTGGTTTTAAAAATATTTACTATTCTAAATACTTATGACAAAATATATCAGGGCTTGGAAATATCTATTTTGTTAAATTTATATCAATATGCATGTGAGACTTCTACAAGAAATAAAACGATGTAATTTAAAGTGTTACTGCCTAGGAAGTAAGTAAAAGGAATGTTATTTCACCTTTTAAAACCTTTCATGATTTTTGAAATTTATACATTTAGTTAGATGTTCAACATATGAAATAAAGAGGTGATTTTAATTAAGCAATAGATCTATATTATCATAACAGAGAATTCAAAGTAAATGTGTACATTGTACTTTTAATAAAATCACATTTTCTACTGATGTATTTGCTGTTTCATTTTTGCAAATTTCATGAGCTCACATCGGTTTGTTAGGACCCAAGTAAATATCTGCTGGTAATAATCTAGTTTGAAATTTAACTATTAATTTAATAGATGATAGTCAATTATAATACTTATATGTTGTTATATAATAAATACACAGTCATCCCTTGCCATCTGTGAGGTACTGGTTCCAGGTCACTTCCCTGTGCACCCACCAAAATCTGCAGATGCTCAACCCTCAAATTCAGAACCCGTGAATACCAAAAGTCCACTCTCCACATCTGCAGGTCTGTGAATTCCCTAAATACTCTATTTTCAATCCTGATTGGTTGACTCCTAGGATGCTCAATCAACAAATGCGGAGGGCTGACCTTGTAATTACATAATTTTCTTTATTCAGAGGCTACATATTTTCATTTATTTTTTAAATTTATAATTATTATATAATTGCACATATTTATGAAATACAATGTGATATTTCAATGCATGTATACATTCAGAGGTTATATAGTTTTCTGAAAATTATTTATGTGTTTCATTGTTTTTCACAATCTGCTCATATTTAAATAACCAACCAAACTCACAAAAGGAAAGGGAATATCCATTGTTTTTAGCCACTTTTAGTAGTTTTTATCAGTAACCACAGCTACGATTTTGTTAATGCTATTTTTCAATAAATTTTGTAAATGGGATTCTAAAAATATTGTATGTCTGAAGCCAACTGTGTGTGTGTGTGTGTGTGTGTGTGTGTGTTTGAGATGGAGTCTCGCTCTGTAGCCCAGGCTGGAGTGCAGTGGCGCGATATCGCCTCACTGCAAGCTCCGCCTCCCGGGTTCACGCCATTCTCCTGCCTCAGCGTCTGCCTCAGCGTCTGCCTCAGCCTCCCGAGTAGCTGGGACTACAGGCAGCCGCCGCTACGCCCCGCTAATTTTTTGTAATTTTTAGTAGAGACGGGGTTTCACTGTGTTGGCCAGGATGATCTCAATCTCCTGTGTCTTTAACTCTTCTTAATTCCCCACTGATGACGAAAATGATAGAAAGCAATAAACCAGATTTGAAATTCAGAGTGAAACATCTAAGATCGGTAAGTGCACCAATGTAACCCTGCCTTTATGCCTAGACTTTTACTAGTAGTAGGTCTCTTCCAGGCTCAGCCTGAAGGTTACAAACTTTTATAGGTGCCATTCTAAGGACCTGCTTTAATCTTGAAAGTTCCAGAGCAGTTTAAGGTGATCTATAGACTAGTAAGTTAGTCCCTGGAATGTTTTGTTTTATGGCAGTTCTCAGGCTGTTTGCCAAGTCTTTCTTTTTTTCTTTTCTTTTTATTTTATTATTATTATACTTTGAGTTTTAGGGTACATGTGCACAATGTGCAGGTTAGTTACATATGTATACATGTGCCATGCTGGTGCGCTGCACCCACTAACTCGTCATCTAGCATTAGGTATATCTCCCAATGCTATCCCTCCCCCCTCCCCCCACCCCACAACAGTCCCCAGAGTGTGACGTTCCCCTTCCTGTGTCCATGTGCTCTCATTAGACTTTAGAAAAATTGAGATCATATAGATTTATTCCCTTAAAAAGGAATCTTCTTATCCTTTGGGAAAAAAGTATACAGACAGGATGAATCCCCTCCTTGTATATAATGGAGCTTAAAGATTTTTCTCATAAGAACTAGGACGGTTTCACAAAGTCTCATAAAGAATGTGTGAGAGAAATATACACATTTTTCTAGGTATATGAGGCTACTTATATTTAAGCCCAGGTCAAAGCTAACTTTTGTCTTTGTGCAGATTAGAGAAAAATATCACCTCTAAGGTGGTGAGTTACAAAGGGCCCTCCCTTGAGTGTTATAAATCTAGTGGGACAAATCATCGTGCATAAGATATTTTTGTTGCATTAAAATTATTCTTTCTTCCTGGCAAAGGGAAACATGTGGCTTGATCAATCGAACCTAGGCTGGATTTATTTTGCCCTATGTAGAACACACATGCCCACGTTCACATTTCTCCAAATTCACATGAATTTAAATTACATGCATTTAAAATAAACTTATCCTTAAATATGTCAAGTAGAGAATTCACATTTGGATGAATGTGAATCTAGGCTGGATTTACTTTGCCCTATGTAGAATAAATAAATAATAAATAAATAAATTCACCTTTATCCAAATGTGAATTTGGCATGTGTATTTTACATAGAGCAAAGTAAATCCAGCCTCGGTTCACATTGATCCAAATGTGAATTTCCTATTTGACATATTTAAGGATAAGTTCATTTTTAATGCATACATTTTAATAAGGTCAGAAATAACTTTGAGCATTGTTTCACAGAGAACTTGATAGCGGTTTCATTTTATGTACCTATTAAATATATTGTTAATTAGTCTTAAAATGTATAGCATTTTTTTCTCTCTTATCAGTTCAGAGTTAATTTCTCAGAATGTAGTAAAAGACTTAAGAATGTTCAGGGTTATGGTCTAATTATTCTAAAAGATATTAGGTTAGTGCCAAAGTAAGTGCGTTTTTTTCCATTAAAAGTAATGAGAAAAACCACAATTACCTTTGCACAAAAATATTCATGTTATCAAAGATATACAGAGATATTTTTGTTTGTTGATTTTAATTGAGGCTGTTAAGAAGATGTAGTTGACTCAAAAATGTATCTAAAAGAATCTTGTTTCAATTGAGGAAAAGATTATAGGTAGTATATGCCCATGATAACTTGTCATATGTATGAGGCTTTACAATTAGTTACTGTAGGAGGAGACCTAAGTCATATCCTCAGTCTCCACAGTGATCTTATGCCACGATGCCAGCCTCATGCCTTAAACTCATCCCAAAACATTCCATTTGGTATTGGTCAGTCTTGTCACACTCTGATATTTTTGATTATTTATTCTCCAAAAGGGAACTCATGGGGTGAATAAAAGACAAATGAATTTAAGTTCTTAAGGGTCAAATGACCACTACTCACTTTTTTTATTGATTCTAAGAAGAATGTATGATTTATGCAAAATATAAACTGACAAAAGAAATATTTATATATTTGCTTTTATTACTAACAAATCAGGAATCGGTTAGGATTGTATCACCTTTATATGTTTATATACATCCCTTTTAATTATTTTGTAAGGATTATTTTTAGTACATTATGAAATAGGAACGTTGACATTATCTAAATAATTATGTTTGGGAGAAGTCATTCTAATTGTATAATGACAAGTTATTCTAAAACAGTTTAATTTTATCCTTGCCTCTGTTCTTCTTCTTCCTTATAAAGCTCAACCTGCATCAGCATGTATGCAAATCAATAGAGAAACATTAAAAACAATTACTGAATGTTGATTACACTTAGATGTTGAGCACTGTGTGAAACATGCTGCTTCTACATGAGGCTTCTGAAAAAGCCTAAATGGTCCACCAGCTCTAGAAAAATCACAGAGAGTACATTTGGAATGCTAATTTCATTGCTGACTTTATCTAATTTCAAATTTTTATTATACTTTCATCTTCATTTCCTGACCTATGACATTTTATTTTAGTTTATTTTTGTAATAATGTGTGTATATATACATAATATATATAATATATATACATATATAATGTATATGTGTATATATATACATATATTATATGTATATACACACACATTATGTATGTATATGTGTATATATATAAAATATATTATATACATATATTATATGTATATACACACATTATGACAAAAATGTGTATTACATTATATATGTATATATTTAATATATGTTATATATATGTATATATTTGTTTTATATGGCATCTTGCTCTGTCACCCAGTCTGCAGTGCAGTGGCACGCTCTCTGCAACCTCTGTCTCCCGGGTTCAAACCATTCTCCTGCCTCAATCTCCAGAGTGGCTGATATTACAGGATTCCACCACCAAACCCAGGTAATTGTTGTGTTTTTTTAGTAGAGATGGGGTTTCACCTTGTTGGCCAGGCTGATCTTAAACTGACCTCAAGTGATCCTCCAGCCTTGGCATCCCAAAGTGCTGGGATTACAGGCATGAATCACCACAACTGACCATGTCATAATGTATATTTCTGGAAGAAATTTTAAGTTCAGTTAAAATAAAACATCATATAAATAAATAAAACTATAATTTTATTTTATTCCCAGGATACAAGTTTGTACAGAAATTCCCAAATCATAGGACCTTGAAATGAATTGAGGCAACAAACAATATTTGAAGCAGAAAAGTAACTATTACTATAAACCATAGTTAGCTAGAACCTATAATTAGCTAGCATTCATTAAAGACTATTGGAATTCACACATTTGGTATATACAGAAATAGCCATGTACATTTTGTTTAGAAAAATGTTCCCACAAGGTAATTTATGACAAAGAGAAATATGCACATAGAGATAAGCAATTGTAATGGCATTTCTATGTAGTTGAACACATAGTAAATATACATAGAGAAATTGAGCAGCTAAACCATTTTGTTAGAATGGAATGACATCTGTATTATGCAAAACACCAGATTCATTGTCTGCCAAAAGGTTCCTCTTGACCTCAGTTTTCCTGTTTTGTGACAAAATTATAGAACAGCAAAAAGGGAATGGCAACAAAAAGCTTCATGACTATCTAAGGACACAGCCATGTCCTTATGGATATTTTGTGATAACAAATCCTTCTTCTATTTGTGATATATCAAGTGATATTGATGTGAAAACATTTCCAAAATTGACAAATATCTAAATTCTCTAAAACGAGTCAAAATATGTCAAATGTTTATTAAATATTTAGTGGCATGTTAAGTGAATACTGTCAACTTCTCAGCAAAATTTAATGATGGTTTACTCAACATTTCTAAAAAGTTGTTTTACTCTACTTTGAGTAGGAATAAGTGTAACTTTCCATATCCAGTAATGGGATTGTTGGATTATATGATAGTTTCATTTAAATGTTTTGAGAAACCTCCATACTGTTTTCTACAATGGAGATGTTGGTCAATGGGTGTAAAATTACAGTTAGACAGGAAGAATAAATTTTGGTGTTCTATTACATAGTACAGTCACTATAGCAAATAGCAATGTATTGTACTTTTCAAGATAGCTAGAAAATAAGATTTTGGATGTTGTCACCACAAAGAAATGATAATGTTTAAAGTGGTGGATATATTAATTACCCAAATTTTGTTATTATACTATGTAGACATGTATTGAAACATATTGTATCCCACAGAAATAGATGCAATTATTACATGTCAACTATAAATTGTTTAATTACATTAAAAAAGAAGTACAGCACTTGAAAATGTGTAAATCATTTATTGTATGTAGTATTTATTTAAGGTCATTAGAAAGCACCAAGAGCTAGAATTTGTGAAAAATTTATGAGGAAGATCAAATATCATCAGATACTAGATAAAGCAAAAAAAAAAAAAAATCTTACAAAGGCTAACTTACTTAAGACAATATGTAACATTTAGCTTTTATACTTAAGCTTTTATAACATTCAACCACGTTGCTGAATATGTGTATATATGTCCAAAGGAAATGAAACCAGTATGTTAAACGAGACACCTGCACTTCCATGTTTATTACAGTGCTATTCACAATAGCAAAGATATGGAATCAAACTCAATGCCCATCTAATGATGAATTAATACAGAAAATATGATGTATATATATATATAATATGCATATATTTGTCATATTTGTTCTGTTTCTCTGAAGAACTCTAACATGACAACTAAGATATGTGCATTTATTTGAAAACATTTTGGGGGTGCACAAGTCTGTTATTCTAGTAAACGTTGTTCACCAACTACATGCCAGGCATTGTTTTAGGTACAGGACAAAAGAGGAAAGGTATATAAGACATGGGTTATGCTTTTAGGTGAGTTGAAAGTCTATAGTGAGAGATATGAAAACAAAAAATTTAAATTAAGTATTAATAGGAATATGTTTAAATACAGATAACAGAGCGTTGAATATGGAAAAGAATTGTTCTTTCAATATATAAAAAAACCTGTTAAAGAGTAAACTATGAAATAAAATTATCCAGAAATGAGGATAAAAATAAAAAGCATAGAAGATTATGAATGCCATGAAAAGATATTGAATTTTATCCTGTATTTACAGCACTCATTGAAAGTTGTTAAATTTGTCAATTAAATGTTTTGATTCAGATTTTTGGTTTCTCTTTCTGATGATAATGTAGATGATGGATTTGTACAGGGTGGAAATAGAATAAAGAAAATATGGGAAATTTTTGTAGTAACCTAGGAAACAAATGATAAATACCTGAACTAGTAGAGATGGAGTTCAGAGAACATATTTCTAAATATTAATGAGATTGATTTGGGTAGATTAATTAATGAGGTAATGGGAATTTGATCTATAATTAGCTGCCCCAAGGTAAGTACTTCAGTATATGAAGTCTGGCCAGTGAAACAGAGGTCTTTTCAAGTCATAAACAATTGAAAAATTTTCTGTTATTCTTTGAATAAAAAATTCACGTTAATCTCTTGCTACAAGCTTTAGAATTAAACTGCTTTTAATTGAAGAGAACCCATTTATTGGATATTTCTTTGGATTTCTCGGATAATGAATATTTTCTCTTTTCTTTCTTTTTTCCTTCCTTCCTCTCTCCCTCCCTCTCTCTCTCTCACTCTTTCTTTCTTTCTTTCCTCTCTTTCTTTCTTTCCTCTTTCTCTCTCTCCTTCCTTCCTTCTTTTCTCTCTCTCCTTCCTTCCTTCCTTTCTTTCCTTCTTTCTTTCTTTCTTTCTTTCCTTCTTTCTTTCTTTCTTTCTTTCCTTCCTTCCTTCCTTCCTTCCTTCTTTCTTTCTTTCTTTCTTTCTTTCTTTCTTTCTTTCTTTCTTTCTTTCTTTCTTTCTTTCTTTCTCTCTCTCTCTCCTTCCTTCTTTCCTTCCTTCCTTCTCTCCCTCCCTCCTTCCTTCCCTCCCTTCTTCCTTCCTTTCTCTCCCTTCTTTCTCTCTTTTCTTTTTTCTTTCTATCTTGCTCTGTTGCCCAGATTGTAGTGTAGTGATGCCATCATAGATTACTGCAGCCTTTACTTCTTGGCCTCAAGCAATCCTCCCAACTCAGCCTTTCAAGTAGTTGGGACTACAGGCACATGCCCCATGACTGTTTAATTTTTTTTATTTGTAGAGTCAGAGACTCACTCTGTTGTTCAGGCTAGTCTTCCACTCCTGGCTTCAAGTGATCCTCTTGCTTTTGCCTAGGAAAGTGTTGGGATTAAGGTATGAGCCACAGTGTCTGGACAGATATTGGATATTTTCTAACTAATTCCCTGTATTAGTCTGGCTTCTTCAGAGAAATGAAATGAAGGGTTGAGAGAGAGAGAGAGAAAGAAAGAGAGAGAGAAATTATAAGGAATAAGATTGTGTGGATCATGTGATTATGGAAGTTGAGAAGCCCCATGATTTGCAGTTAACACGGTTTTCAGACACAGGGAAACGTATGGTATAGTTTCAACCTGAGTCTGAAGCAGGAAAGCTGATTGTGTATGTGTATAAGGCCCAGTCTGAGTCTCAAACTAAAGACAGGAGAAGACTGAGGTCCTACTAAAAGACAGTCACATAGAGAGAGAGAGAGAGAGGCAATCTTCCTAACTCAGCTTTTTTGTTCTATTCAATCCTTCAATGAATTTGATGAGGCCCACCCACATTAGGGAGGGCAATTTTTCTTTACTCACTCTACCAAATCAAGTATTAATCTCATCTAGAAACATTCTCACAGACACACACAGCATATTTAACCAAATACCTGGGCACCCCATAGCCCAGTCACTTTTACACATAAAAGTAACCATGACAGCTCTCCAATGCAAACTACTACATGATTTATTTCTTTCCTGATACTGAATAAAAAAGATACTCAATTAAAAAGATAATAATTGTTAGAGCACTTACAGATAGTTTTCCTCTATAGCCTTCTCTTTTATTTTGCATATGCTTAGTTGGTGATCATGTTAGAAAGTTAGAAAGAGTCTCTTGTTTTTCATCTAAAATTTTGTTGTTCTTATTTTTTCTAATTGAAGAAATATGTATAACATTTCAAATATATGAAGAACATGGAATTAGAAATGAAGAGGTTATTTTCAAATTCTGCCTCTGTATAACTCTAAAGTATGTATTATATTGCCTAAAACTGAGAAACTGAAATATATTCTTATAGCCTATCTCAAAGGTTTTTGTAGGAATAAAGTTTGATGTAGTTTGATGTATATGAACACTTGCAGAAGATGAATTAACACACTATAAATATTCATTCAATTTTACTGAGTTAGATATTCTTTGGTTTTAAAAATTTTTCAAGCCATTGCTCCAAATTTCTTAGTTTTAAATTATTATAGGTATCCCATGGTTGTATATAATTATCTGCTACATGTGATGTTCTGATGTAGAAATACAATGTGTTATAACCAATTCAGGGAAATTAGAGTATGTATCACCTCAAGCATTGATCACTTCTTTGTGTTAGAAACATTCCAATTCCAGTTTTTTAGTTATTTAAAAATACATAATAAAGTATTGTTAACTATAGCCACCCCACTGCACTACTAAGTACTAGATCTGTCCAATTTTATTTTTATACGCATTAATCATTCTCACTTTACCCCTCTTTCCTCACTACCTTCCCAACCTCTGCTAATCATCATTCTAGTCTCTATATCATTGAGTTTTTTTTTAAATTTTTATCTCCCACATAATCAGAACATGCAAAATTTGTCTTTCTGTGCCTGACTTATTTCACTTAACATAATGTGTTTCAGTTCCATCTACGTTGTTGCAAATGACAAAGTTTCATTATTGTTTATGGTTGAATAATGTTCCATTGTGTATATGTACCACATCTTCTTTATCCATTTATCTATTTTTGGACTATATAACCCCTGTCCCATTTTGTGAACACTTTAACTTTTATCTTCCTGTAAATATAAGTAAATTTAACTCATTTTGTTGGTAAGGAGAAAAATACTGAGTTTTAACAGTTAAGGGTGGTTCATTTTCAGGCTGTGTAGACAAGATGTTATTGTAATGTCAATTTAGCTGTATACTGTGAATTCTGTCACCCTTGATTCAGTTTTTCTTTATTAACACTTCTTTTTGTTGGCTCCATCTCTTTAATCAACATAGTCTCCATCTCTATCTGTGTTTCTAATTACAAGTGCCCAGGAGACAGGATTGATTTGGGTAGGTAATCACTACCATATAGTGTATAGGCAAAGTCTTTGAGCAGAATTCTTTTTCTCATAAGTGACAATAAGCAGATTATAGATTGATAACATTGGGAGTCCACATCTCTAATCTAATCAACCTGGGCCTACTTGGCAGGATCATATGTGATGAGGCCTAGAGATCTATCTGAATGGGACCATCCCTGGCTTCTTGCCAGTCAGATATCTTTGAACGTGGAAAACTATAAGACTTCTAATAGAAAAATATTTCACAGAAGAAAGTTTGACAATAAGAAAATTACACTGGATTTTTAATGGATTATTATATAGATCTACTCAAATGAATAAATATTTCTCAAATAAATAAATATTCTGCTGAAATAATTTGAAAAAACAAGAAATGGTGGCAGAGGGAATAAATCACAAGGAATTTATACAAACTAAAAGGAGAGGTGAAAGAGATATTTTATGAAATTTAAAATACAGATTTTAATTTTATCAAAATAGTGTTAACGAGATGGATAAGAATATTTGCAAAATGTTCCTCTCAGGAAAACCATATGTCAAGAATGCTGTAGAATCACTCATGCATTAAGAAGAAAACCATATGGAAAATTTTAAAATAATATTTCTTTACAATTCTGAAAAATACTGTGCTTAACAACTATTTATAAGATTCCATACTTTTGTTGTAACCATGTGGTAATCAGAATAATGCCTCCCAAAAGTGTTCATATTTTAATTCTCAGAACATGTGAACATGTTGGGTGGCATAGTAAAGAGGTATTAAGGTTGAAGTTATAATTAAGATTATTAATCAGCTAATCTTAAAGTAGAGAAATTAACCTGGAATTCCAAGGTGGGGCCAATATAATAATGAAGTCCTGAAACGTGGAAGAGGATGGCAGAAAAACAGAGAATCAAAGAACAAGATGTGAAGATGAAATGGAGAAAAAGTGAGGGGATTTGAGAAAGACTTCACCTGTCATTGCTGGCTCTGAAGAAAGAATTTAAGTTTGCTAGTCAGCTGACGTTAAACTGATTACCCAAGTGTGTTCAATTTATTCACAAGGCCCTTATAAATGCAGCTCACAGACTCAAAACAAAGGGTCAAAGGGAGAGAGAAGAGAATGAAGCAAAGGTCAGAGAGTACAGCAGATGATTTTCTGCTGGCTTTGGCTTTGAGAATACATTCTCAGTAAATTCTTCAGATCACAGACAGGCAGCCCCAAACCCCACACAGAAAAATAACTTAAAAAACCATAAGTACAGATAGAAAAACACAGCAAACACTAGATGTTTTAAAAAGAATCATTGTGGTATAATACATTTAAGTTTGTGTAGGCTCAATATCATTAACATATAATATTAATAATAAATGTGTGATGCTGCATACATTTCTGTTTCTATAAAAAGAGGCATGCCATTAATAACTAAGTTTAAATGGAACATAAAAACAAATATAATGTAATTAAAATATTACAATAGTTTGTTATCCAGGCAATAGAAGAATGAATGTCAGACATTTAAGAATAAATGGGTAATTGTAGTTAGAAAAATGTATTATTTGAGAAAATTATGTAATTTTTCTGTAAACTGCTTATTGAGCATAGTGAAGAGAACAATTTGCTAAAGAACTTTAGCAACATGCACTATTTTCAGATCTAGTTCAGCAAAAAAGGTAATATTTTGTAAAATATACTAGAAGAAAATAAGGCATTTTGCAGCAATGAAGGCAATTATAATTTCTCTTCAAACATCTGAGCAAAGGCAGAAGAAGTAGATCAGAGCCAACCCTGAAAACCCTGGTTATAATTGAAAGACCTTGGGACTCAATCATGATCTCCCACTTTCTTTTACATAGCCCTGTCACCATTATTTACTCACTTACTCTGGTAAGTTTACTCTTTGTCTCTTTCCACTAAGGCATAAGCTTCTCAAGGTCTGCAACTTTTGTCTATTTTGTTAACTACTGGGTCATAAAATGTACACAATATGATATGATTAGCACCAATTTCTCAAAAAAAATTTCATGTGGAATGAAATAAAATAATGTAGGGTAAGATCATTTAAAACTGACTATCAATACAAAATGTGACTGACACAATTATTAACCAAATCCTTTTTGTTGCCACACATTTCTCCTTAAACAAATGCAAAATGTTTATGCAGCTATATTTCTGACTTTTCTATTCTGTGTCATTGATCTATGTGTTTGTTTCTGTACCAGTACCATGCTGTTTTTGTGTCTGTGGTGTTATAGTACAGTATGCAGTCGAGTAGCATGATGCCTCTGGCTTTGTTCTTTTTGCTTGGCTATTTGGGCTTTTTTTGCTTCCATACAAATTTTGGAATAGTTTTTTCTAGATCTGTGAAGAATGAAATTGGTAGTTTGATAGGAGTAGCATCAAATCTGTAAATTGCTTTGGGCTGTATGGTCATTTATATTTTGATTCTTCCAATCCATGAGTATGGAATATTTTTGCATTCATTTGTGTCCGCTCTTATTTTTTCAGCAGCGTTGCGTAGTTCTCCGTGTAAAGCCATACACGTATAACAATCTGATCTTTGACAAGGCCAACAGAAAAAGGCAATGTGGGAAGGACTTCCGATTCAATAAATGGTGCTGGAATAACTGGCTAGCCATATGCAGATGATTGAAGCTAGACCTCTGTTTTTTGTCACATACAACAATAAACTCAAAATGGATTAAAGATTTAAATGTTAAGACCTCATACATAAAAATCCCAGAAAATAACCTAGGAAATATACTTCTCAACATCAGCCTTGGCAAAAGATTTTGGCTAAGTTTCCAAAAGCAATTATAACAAAATAAAAAATACACAAGCGGGACCCAAATAAACTGAAGAGCTTCTGCAGAGCAAAATAAACTACCAGTAGAGTAATCAGGCAACATACAGAATGGAGGAAGATATTTGCAAGTTGTGCACTCGATAAAGACCTATTATACAGAATTTATATGGGAACTTAGCAAATCAACAAACAAAAAACAACTAACCCCATCGAAAAATGGGCAAAAGACAAAAACAGACAATTCTCAAAAGAAGATATACAAGTGGCCAAAAAAAAAAATTCTACAAAATGTTCAGCATCACTAATTATTGGAGAAATACAAATCAAACCCACAATCAGATAACATTACATAGCAGTCAGAGTGGTCATTATTAAGAAGTCAAAAAACAACAGACGCTAGTGAAGCTGTGGAGAAAAGGGAATCCTTAAGCACTGTTGGTGTGAATGTGGAAAGCAGTCTGGAGATTTTCCAGATAACTTAAACAGAGCTACCATTAGACCCAGAAACCCCATTACTGAGCATATACCCAAAGTAAAATAAATTGTTCTACCATAAAGACACACATACACTTGTATGTTCATTACTGTGCTATTCAAAATAGCAAATACATGGAATCAAATCAGTTGTCCATCAATCATAAATTGGATAAAGAAAATGTGGCACAGATACATCACGGAATACTACACTGTCATGAAAAAGAATAAAATCATGTTTTTGTGCAGCAACACAGATGGGGCCAGAGGCCATAATCCTAAACAAATTAATTCAGAAACAAAACTAAATACTGCATGTTCTCATTTATAAGTGGGAGCTGAACATTTATACTAGTTCACTTTCACATTGCTGCAAAGAAAACTACCTGAGAAGGTGTAGTTTACAAAGAAAATAGGTTTATTTGACTCATGTTCTGCAGGCTGTGCAGAGGGCATCGCTGGGGAGGCTTGACGAAACTTAAAAAAATGACAAAAGGCAAAGGGGAAGCAAGCACATCTTCACATGTGAAAGGAGAGACAGAGAGTGAAGGTAGAAGTGTCACACACTTTTCAATCATCAGATCTCATGAGAGCTCACTCACTATCATGAGAAGATCAAGGGAAAATCTGTCCCCATGACCCAGTCACCTTCCACCAAGCCCCTCTTCTAACACTTAAGATCATAATTCAACATACAATTTGGGTGGGAATACAGGACCAAACCATATCATTCCATCCTTGACCCCTCCCAAATCTCATGTTCTCACATTTCAGAACAGAATCATGCCCTCCCAAAAGTTTCTCAAAGTCTTAACTCATTTTAGCATTAATTTGAACATCCATGTCCAAAGTCTCATCTAAGACAAGGCAAGTCTCTTCTGCCTATGAGCCTGTAAAATGAAAAAAAAAAAAAAAAATTAAAAAAAAAAGTTAGTTCCAAGATACAATGGGAGTACATACATTGGATAAATGTTCCTATACCCAAATGAGAGAAATTGGCCAAAATAAAGAAACTACAGGCTGCATGCAAGTCCAAAACCTAGCAGGGCAGTCATTAAATCTTAAATCTCTGATATAACCTTCCTTGACTTCATGTCTCACATTCAGGGCACACCGATGCAAGAGATGGGCTCCCAAGGCCTTGAGCAGATCCATCCCCATGACTCTCCAGAGTACAGCACCTGCAGCTTCTTTCGTGGGCTGGCATTGAATGCCTGTGGCTTTTCCAGGTGCATGGTGCAAGCTGTTGGTGGATCTACCAATCTGGGGTCTAGAGGATGGTGGCCCTCTTCTCAAAGCTCCACTAGGCAGTGCCTAAGCGAGGACTCTATGTGGAGGCTTCAATCCCACATATTGTCTCTGCACTGCCCTAGTAGAGGTTCTCCATAAGGGCTCTACCCCTGTAGCCAACTTTTCCCAGATCATCCAGGCATTTCAGTACATCTTCTGAAATCTAGGTGGAGGTTCCCAAACCTCAACTCTTGCCTTCTGTGAACCTTCAGGCCCAAGACTATATGGAAGCCACCAAGGCTTTGGGCTTGCACCCTCTGAAGCAATGACCTCAGCTGTATCTTGGCCTCATTTAGCCACAGCTAAAGCTGGAGTGACTGGGATGTGGGGAATCATGTCTCAAGGATGCACAGAGCAATGGAGCCCTGTGCCTGGCCCATATAATTGTTTCTTCCTCCTAGACCTCCAGGCCTGTGATGGGAGGGGTTACTGAGTAGGTCTCTGAAATGTCTTGGAGGCCTTTTTCCCATTGGCTTGAGTATTTACATTTAGCTCCTCTTTACTTATGCAAATTTCTGCAGCAGGCTTGAAGTCCTCCCCAGAAAATGTTTTTGTTTGTTTGTTTACCGCCTGGTCAGGCTGCAAATTTTTTTTAACGTTTATGCTCTGCTTTCCTTTTAAATATGATTTAGTTTTGGGTCATTTCTTTGTTTATGCAAATGAGTGTAGGCTTTTAGAATCAGCCAGGCTACATCTGGAATGCTTTGCTGCTTAGAAACTTTTCCAATTAGATATCCTAAATCAGCTCTCTCAAGTTTAAAGTTCTACAGATCTCTAGAACAGGGGCACCACCAGTCTCTTTGCTAAAGCATAGCAAGAGTGAACTTAGCTCTGGTTCCCAATAACTTCCTCATCTTCATCTGAGACCTTCTCAGATGGGACTTCACTATCCATAGCACTATCAGCATTTTGGTCACAACTATTTAACACATCTCTAGGAAGTTCCAAACTTTCCCTCATCTTCCTGTCTTCTTCTGAGCCCTCCAAACTGTTCCAACCTCTGCCTATTATCCAGTTACAAAGTCGCTTCCACATTGCCAGGTATCTTTATGGCAGTACCCACCTCCTGGTAACAATTTTCTGTATTCGTCTGTTCTCACATTGCTATAAAGAACTGACTGAGACTGTGTAGTTTATAAAGAAAAGAGGTTTAGTTGACTCACATTTCCACAGGCTGTACGGGAGGATTGTTTGGGGAGGCCTTAAGAAACTTACAACCATGGTGGGAAGTGAAGGGGAAGCAAGTACACCTTTACATGGTGACAGGAAGGAAAGAAAGCAATGGGGGAAGTGCCAGACACTTTTAAACCATCAGGTCTCATGAGAACTCACTCACTATCAAAACAGCAAGGGGGATATCACCCTCATAATCCAATCACCACCCACCAGGCCCCTTTTCCAATACTAAATATCATAATTCAACTTGAGATTTGGGTGAGGACACAGAGCCAAACCATATCAACATTGAATACACATGGACATAAACATGGGAACAATAGGCACTGCATGTGGAGGGAAAGGAAGTGGGTTAATAAAACTACCTATTGAGTGCTATGCTCACCAACTGTATGACAGGGTCTGAACCCCACACAATATTCCAATGTAACAAATGTACCTGCATACCCCCATATCTAAAATGAAAGTTGAAATTATTTTTAAAAGCAACAAAATTCATAGTTAGCTGAAAAATTTAGATACTAAGTATTAAAATCAAAATTCTAGTGCTCATAAAGCTGAAATCCAGGTAAGTCTACAGTAGTTCATCCTTATCTGAGGGGGTATGGGGAGCAATAGGTTTCCAAACCAGCAGTCTCTCTAATACTTCAGATAGTTCAGAACCCTATATATATATTTTTTCCTATACGTACATACCTATGATAAAGTTTAATTTATAAATTAGACAACATGAGATTAACAACTAATAATAAAATAGGACATAGAACAATTATAAATATATACCATAAAAAGTTATGTAATATGATATTTCTCTCCTCTCTTGACATATTTTACTGTAATCATCTTTCTACTTCTTGTGATGATGTGAGAATAAGGTGACAATGTGATGAGATGAAGTGAGGTGAATGATGGTAGGCGTTGTGATTTAGCATTAGGCAAGTATAGGGGATCGTTTGCTTCTAAATTATCAAGCCATGAAGATGCATATGGCTGCATGTCAGGAGTAAATACATCAATGTCTAAGGGGTATTTTATACAGTGTGGACTACCTGGATGAAGGAATGATTCACATCCCAAATGGGATAGAGCAGGACTGCAAGATTTCCTCACTCTACTTACAATGTTGCACAATGTAAAATCATGAATTGTTTATTTCTGGAATTTTCCATTGAATACTTTTAGATCTTGATTGACCATAAAAGGGGAATACTGTAAATGCAAATACAAATACAGGCATAACTTATAAGTTATGCCTGTATTTGTATAAGATGACTAAGATTTATGATATGTAAGTATGAACATAAATCCATCAACTTTATTTTTAAAATTCAATATTTTCTGTTTCCCATTCTCCCCTGTAATGTCAAATTAGGGGGTTACCTTCCTTTTACCAACTTTATGAAATTGTGTATTTCACTTTGAGTCTTAACATATAAAATTCTCAGTATTGAAATATTTTTATTTCTCAATCAGATCATTTGGGTCCCTCTTTTCTTTAATATACAGGTGTAAATTCATGTCATAGAGGAGTCCACTATAATTTGTTCCTTGGATTACCTTAATGTCCACTCAACAGTTCTCTGTACTCAGTTAAAACATAAATTCTACATTTCAACTTGTTTTCTCTAGCAATTAAATTGGAGTATATTTTAGCTCTCTTAATGGATTAAAATTCCTTGAAGGCACAGAAGTATTTGTTCTGCCTCTCTTTTGTTTTTAGACTTCACTGCACAAACTATCTACTTTAATATTCATTTCCTGATGGTTAGAAATTGGAATTGGTGACTGGGTTTGCAGAAGTTTAATGAAGGTTGACTCAAAATATTATTAATATATCTTTATGATTGCTGAAATGGAGCTGGTAATTTTTTCCCACTTGTAATGAATTGAACATAAGGCTGTTTCTGTTATCTTCTGAGTCATGTTTTTGATTAAGCTCTTCCAAAGACTAATAAACACATAGAAACTATTTAGGGTTATATAAACATTTTTATCTCCCAAGTGAACACAAGTGAGAGCACTGCAACTCATTCAATGAATAATAGGTGATAGTAAAACTACCTGATGAAAATGTGTGCAGCATCCTATACTTTGTTCCTCATTGTTTTACAAATAAGCTCTGTCATTTTTAGTTTCTGTAATTCACTTTATTCTTGATCACTGTGGAGAAATTGAATAACATGGCAAATATGTCTTATACCTCTAAAATTTAATATATCAACAATAATAACCATCCTCTGTGTCATTTAATATTTAGATTAATTTCATCATATAATTTGATTCTTGGTATCAGGCTAGGTTTAAATAATTTGCCTTTTATAATCCTGCTGAGATTATCTGGATAATCTGATTTATGCACAGAAATTTTTATATTATTTGCTTTGTTTTTACCAGAATTTGTCATCATGTATCTAAAACTGGTAAACATTCTACTTACTAATTACATATTTCTAGATTTGTGTGTATCCATCATTTACATTACAATGCTTTGATAATCTCTTCCTTCCTAAATGCCACATAATGCTACAGCTTATGCTAACTTGCTTCTGCCTTTTTGGGATTCACTATTTCAACATAAGTTTGTGCTTGACTCATTGGTAAAGCATGCTTATAACTCTCAATTTATTTGCTCAAGTTAGAGAAAATTATAATTCTTTTTACTAGAGACTACTATTTCTCTATGTAAATTATTTTGTTTTATTATTTTGCTAAAGTCATTTTGGGACCCATATTGATTTTTTTCTGCTGGTCTTTCTAGTAAGTATCCTGATCTCTCACCCTTGAGTTTAACAACTCTTGTGTTGTATTTCAGATTGTGTTCCTGCTACTTATTAAGTGTATTTGTTGGGAAAGGCAGCTTCATACAGCAGTGTTTCAACTGTGCTTAATGATGTAAGAATAGACCTTAGGCCTGGAACACTTCCTTAACAAGAATGAAAGCATGCACACAGCCTGTACATGCCTTATCCACTTGCGTGAGAATATCTTTCCCTGTTTCAGATACAGTGTGTGCCTTTGTTGCCTTAAGCATGTCATCAATGGCCTTGAGGCGTACCCCTAGTTTTTATTGTTTTAGACTCCACAGGGGAATGGGCAGAGTACTTCTATTGCAGAATGAGGGGGGTACGTGTAAGAGTGAGAAGTGGGAGTTTACCTGCTAGCCCTGGGGTACTGATGCTATTGCAACTAATTTTGTGCTGTTTCTTCTCTATGTGAGAAAAGCATTGTTTCACATGGTGATTGTTTTGTTTTTCTTGGTAACTCCAATACCACAGTACAGTAAGCAGAAGTGTTTGGACTGCTCTTTCTGGTGGTTGGGATAACAATGATGTTGCTATCTTCTATGTAGTTGGAGTCCTTTCCTGATATTTGAAACCAAGCACAGTGCTGTGCTCTACAGTATTATAGAAAAAACGATGCAACTGCATATATAAGTATATTTGTGCATTTCTGCAAATAACAGACATAGTAAGAGTAGTAAGGCCAGAGTCCTCTTATCAAGGTATCACTTTCTGATGCTGTTCATCTTATTATGTGAATACAATCCAGCTAACAAGCATGAAGTCTAAATTGGTTGAATACATTCTGATATGGCAGTAGTAGGAATTAACTGGAATTAACTGCAGGTTATTGACAGCATAGCAGCATTTTTTTTCCTTAGGATGGAAAATAAGTTATTATCCAATCATCAATCAGGTAAAATCCACATATAGCCAGGTTTCACTGTCACTCTGATTGATTAACTTTAGTTAATCCTTCACCCAGAGATGATTCCTGATGCTTGATGGTTTTATTTTAACAAACAATACTGGTTGTCAAATAACAGAAACAAAAGTCACATATTCCCTGAAAAAGTTGTAATTATTACTGTATTAGAAGGTTAACTTATCATAGTATTGTTATTTATTTAATATAATTATGAATAATATCAGTATAAATTTTTGTTACTATTACTCAGAATATACATATTTTCTATTCTCAAAGTTTAAACTTCAGATTATAGTCTGAATTTAAGGTCTATCTTAAAGTAAGTAAAATTCGTGAGTAAAAATATTAAACAATGTAAAACAAAATTAATATTAGGCAACAGTTATATTTTTGATAAGAAGAAAGCAAGAATAGCTAAAATAAATGACAATGTGTAAGACGTCCCATCACATTTAAATCTCGTATTCGAGAGAATATCATCTTTGGATTATCCTCTCTCTTTGTGTTTATGTGTTTTTGTATGCATGAAACATAAATTTTAATATGTAAATAAACATAAATATTCAAAATACACAAATATACATTTATATCTGTAAGAGTTAAAGAAAGAGGAATGAAACATGAAAAGCAGCTTAACAGTCAGACAGTTTTATTTTGGAGAATAAACCTGAGAGGGGGTCCTGGCCGATTTTGGTCAGGAGTGCTGTCTCTTACAGAGTATTTATTGACAAGAGAGCTTGGAATGTTTCCATATGGGGGAGAAGTTTATGGCTGGGTTGGAATATCTCTGGTAGGAGGGGAAGTTATTTTGGGGCTGACATCTCTACAGCCAGAGGGGAGATGTCTCAGGGCTGGCATGTCTGTCGTCGGGGAGGAGTTTGGAATCTTTCTGGTCTGAGATTTCATTTGTGGTTTATGGGCATGCTGACCTTAGACATTAGGCTGATGCCCTTTGGATTTAGGCAGTTTTTGATCCAGGTGAACTTTAGAATGGCAGTGCTTGTCCAAGATTGCGATGCTCCTGCCCTGTCAATATCAATCTAAGTATATATAGAGATAAATAATATAGTTTATACCAACCATTGTATTAGATATTGTGAGTTGTTCAATGGTATAGTTTTTGGTTACCCACTTTTAACTTACATATTATATTTTCAAAATTTTTCACAGTGCTGTATACAGAAGTGATGAATGCAAGTTTGCTAATGACTGAATGGTTATCAAGTTTACTAAAGTTAAATAAACCCCTTTTTAAGAATTTTATAGACTAACTTTTCTGAAAAGCCTCACTTGAAACACATTTTAATAAAAAAGATAAATTCTTAAATAAAAAGCTAAAATCACAATAATTTCAGGGAAATACCAAATGTCCAAATTTTAAAAGATACCTGAAAAACAGAAAAATATACAGGCAGACCTTATTATATTGATCTTTGCTTTATTGCACTTCATAGATATTGCATTTTTTACATATTGAAGATTTGTGGCAACCCTGTGTTGAGCAAGTCTATCAACATTGTTTTTTCAACAACATGGGAGAGCATACTTCATGTCTCAGTATGGAGACACAGAACATTCATTCCATAGCCCATAGATCAAAAACCAATTTCAACTTTCAAATTTTATTATTTAAGAAATACATTTAATAAGGCTATAGCTGTCATGTATAGTGATTCCTCTGATAGACATGAGCAAAGTAAATTGAAAACTTTATGGAAAGAATTCACCATTCTAAATGCCATTTTATCAACTATTGTAATGTCTTAAACTTTTTTAATATTGTTACTTCTTTTAGTGATCTGAAATCAGTGATCTTTCATGTTACAATTCTAATTGTGGGTTGTGGCACCACAAACCACACCCATGTAGTACAGACGAATAGAATCAATAAGTGTGTGTTCTGACTAATGCACCCACCAGCTATTCTTGTGTCTCTCAACCTCACCACAGGCAGCCATATTCTCCTAGACCCAAAAATATTAAAATTAGGCCAATTTATAACCCTAAAATGGCCTCTAGGTGTTCAAGTGAAGAATCTCATGTCTCTCATGTCTTTATATCAAATATTAAAAATGGCTAAACTTAGTGAGGAAGGCATATTGAAAGCTGGAGTAGTCTGAAAACTAAGCTTCTATGCTAAAAAGTTATCATTGTTGTAGATGTAGAGGAAAAATTCTTGAAGGAAATTAGAAGTGCAATTACATTGGGTACACAAACAACGAGAAAATGAAAGAGATTTGTTGCTAATATGGAAAACATGTTCTTGATTTGAATGGAAGAACAATCCAGCCATGGTATTCCCCTAACCCAAAGGCTAATATAGAACAACGCCCTAATTCTCTTCAGTTCTATCAAGGTGGAAAGAGGTAACGAGTAACAGAAGAAAAGTTTGCAGAAAGCACAGGTTGGTTCATAAGGCTTAAGGAAAAAAGCTGTCTCTATAACATGAAAGTGCAAAGTTAAGCAGCAAGTGTCAATGTAAAAGCTGCAGCAAGTTATTTAGAAGATCTAGCTTAAATAATTAATAAAGGCTACACTAAACAGATATTAGTGTAGATGAAAAAGTTTTATATTGAAAGAAGATGAAATCTAGGACTTTCCTAGCAACATAGAGGAAGTTAATGCCTGGCTTCAAAACTTCAAAGCTTCAAAGGATAATCTGATTCTTGTTGGAGGTATGAAAGGAAATTTCTTGAGACCCGAAAATCACTAAGGCAAGGGAAAATTCAAGGTGAGAACTGCTTAGGGCAAACCTGCCTACCATTCTATTCAAAATTATTCCTCTGCTCATTGAGATAAATGCATATCTGATTGCCTCCTTTGGAAAGGCTAATGAGAAAATTCAAAAGAATGCAAGTGATCATCTCTCACCTATCTGTGATCTGACAGCTCCCTTCCCATGTCAAGTCTTTCTGCCATTGTTTCAAGTTGTTCTGCCTTTCTAGATTGAACCAATATATTCCTTACATATATTGATTGATGTCTCATGTCTGCCTAAGATGTATAAAACCAAGCTGTGCCCTGACCACCTTGGGCACATGTCATTAGGGCTTCCTAAGCCTGTGTCACAGGTGCATGTCCTCAACCTTGGCAAAATAAACTTTCTAAATTAACTGAGACCTATCTCAGACTTTCTGGGTACACAGCGGCTAATGCAACTAGTGACCTTAAGTTAAAGCCAATGCTCATTTACCATTTTGAAATACTGTGTTTCTTATAAATGATGCTAAATCTACTCTGCCTGTGCTCTATAAATGGAACAAGGCCTGGATGACATAATACCTGCTTACAATGTAGTTTACTCAATATTTTAAGCCCACTGTTGTGATCTACTGCTCAGAAAAAAATATTTATTTCATAATATTACTGCTATTATCAATGCACTTGTCACTCAAAAACTCTGATGGAAATGTACAAAATGTTAACATTACTTTCCTGCCTGCCTTCACGATATTCATTCTGTTGCCCGTGGATCAAGAAGTAATTTCAACTTCCAAGTTTTATTATTTAAATAGCACATTTTGTAAGGCTGTAGATACCATGTACAGTGATTCCTTTGACAGATATCGGCAAAATAAATTGAAAACGTTCTGGAAAGAATTCATTATTTCAAATGCCATTAAGAACATTCATAATTCATGGGAGGAGGTCAAAATGACAATATTAACAGGTGTTTTGAAGAAGTTGATTACCAGCCTCATGGATGACTTTGAGGGATTCAAGACTTCAGTGAAAGAAATAATGACAGATGAGGTGAACATAGCAAGAGAACTAGAATTAAAAGTGGAGCCTGAAGATGAGAGTGAATTGCTTCAATCTAATAAAACTTCATGAATGAATGAGGAGTTGCTTATTATGAATGAGCAAATAAAGTGCTGTCTTTAGATGGAATCTACACCTGGTGAAAATTCCATGAATATTGTTGAAATTACAACAAATAATTTAGAATATTACATAAACTTAGTAAATGAAGCAGTGGCAGAGTTTGAGAGGATCAACTCCAATTTAGAAAGAGGTTTTACTGTGGAGAAAATGCTATCAAGTAGCATAGCATGCCACAGGGTAATCTTTTGTGAATAGAAGAGTCAATTGATAGAGCAAACTTTATTGTTGTCTTGTCTTAAGAAATTGCCACAACTACTCTAACCTTCAGCAACCATCTCCTGAACATCAAGGCAAGACCAAGACCATTCACCAGCAGAAAGTATAGGACTAAGGCTCAGATAATCATCAGTATTTTTAGCTTCATTTTAGTATTTTTTAACTGAGGTATGGGCATTGCTTTTTTCTTTACTTTAATGCTATTGCACATTTAATAGACTATAGTATAGTGTAAATGTAACTTTTATATACATTGTGAAACCAAAAAAAATCATTTTCCTCCTTTTATTGCTATATTCACTTTATTGCAATGGGTTAAAATTGAACTCACAATACCTCTGAAGTATGCCTGTATATATTTGCTCTATATTTGCCGATATTTGTCACAAAAAAATCTGCAACTTAACTAAAATATGTAGAAAGACACAAAATTATATCATTTATAAAAATGGGAATTACACAAAACATACCCACTTTCAATGAGGAAAACATGAATGCTTGTCTGGGTGACTAAAACAAATTTATATGAGAATTAATATATCCTATTCACACTTTAGGGGGTGAAATAGTTTGGCTGTACCCTCACTAAAATCTCATCTTGAATCGTAGTTCCCATAATCCCCAAGTGTCATGGGAGGGACCCTGTGAGAGGTAATTGAATCATGGGGGCAGGTTTTTCCCATGCTGTTATCATGACAGTGAATAAATCTCATGAGATCTGATGGTTTTATAAAGGCAGTTCCCCTGCACACACTCTATTGCCTGTCACCATGTAAGATGTGACTTTGCTCTTTCTTCACCTTCTGCCATGATTGCTGGGCCTCCCCGGCCATGTAGAACTGTGAGTCAATTAAAACTTTTTCCTTTATAAATTACCAAGTCTTGGGTATGTCTTTAGCAGCAACATGAGAACAGACTAATAGAGGTAGTTTTGAGGTTTTCATTTTAAAGATGAATGGTTCGGTTAATTCCAAGCAACAAAATATATACTAACGCCAATTTTTGTTGATAACACCTAGGTAATCAAACAGAAACTGAGACAAAAATGTCTTTGGAGGGACACACCCTTGTATCAGGCACAAAGATTTCCACAGATAAAGCCATACTGAATATAAACTGTTAATTATAAATTATAATCCTCAAAAGGAAATAATCTATCATGAAAATCAGCAGAGAGAGTAAGTGGCAAAGGTAGGCTTACAGAAAGTTTAATTATTTAAAATACAGGATAAAAGAATATAAGCATGTTTACCTTGATTAAGTTACAATGGTATAATCTCAAATGAACAAAGTCTTATCAGATGTGTTTAAGAAAGGCAAAACTGGAAAAATGGAAATTCTAGCAATTAGAATGAACACTAATTTAATTAAAACCTAAGCTCAATGATGGGTATAAAACAAATTAACACAGCTGCTAATAGAATTTGTGTACTGAAGTATATCCTTAAAATTATATATAATTCCTCTGAGATATATATATATATATATATACATATATATATATGTCGGAATGATATAAAAATATAAAGGAGAATAAGAGACATACAGAATATGACAAAATGATAGATCATAGGACTCCTAGAAGGCAAGAAAAGTAAAGAATGGGGGAAATAATGAAGTCATAATGACCAAGAATTTTTGCAAAATTTAGTAAAGAAATGAACTTAGATTTAAGAATTCCAACAAATTCCTAAAGTAATAAGGAAACATAACTCCAATGACAAATTGAATGTGTTAAAGTAAGTTGTGAAGAAAAGTAATTAGTATACTGAGAGCAGATGCTTCAAATAAACAATTCATACAGCATAATATCTTTAAAATGTTGGAAGAAAAATCTGCAACACAAACTGTTTTTATTCACTTAAGTAGGACTGCATATTGGGGAAAAAACATTTTTAGGTAAAATAATGAAAGAGATAATTTTAAAAAAGCATGCCCTTACAAAACAGATTATAAAGTTCATACTTCAGATAGAAAGAAATTAAATTTAAAAGAATAAACTGCTAACAGTAACAGTTAGAAAAGATATTGTCAATTATGCAGGTAAATTGAAGCACAACTGAAATGCCTACAATGAGAGTCATAAAATTTTAAGTAAAAGTAGATTTTAAAAACTGTAAAGAGTAGATAGTAAAACACAAGGGTGTGAATAGAGTTAAGGCTTTCAAAGATTCTTAGTTTATCTGGTAGGAGGAAAGAGACAATGAAAATTGTATTTACCTAAGGGTGGCCAAGTTAAGTATAGAAATAGACTGGTAAGTTTCCACATCATAGGATTAACTTTCTAAATTGTTGTATAAGGTTAAACAAAAAGCTTTAACTATAACTGCATTATTTTCGTGGACAACTGTCTACGAAATGCTTCAATAACTTTGAAGCATTTATAATGTTAATTTATACAATACTTAATACAATACCAAGGACATTGGAAAGCACTCTCAGATGTTTAGTGGTGGAAATAGCAAGTACTGAATCTTGTAAGGTATGAAAATTTTACCAATTGAAATAAATCCCCTGAATCTATGCAAATTATTTTATTATGACATATAAATATAAAGTATTGCATTTAAATATACAAAATGAACCTGTTATACTTACTACATAAAAGTCATGCAATATTGATTCTTCCAATCCATGAGCATGGAATGTTTTTCATTTGTTTGTGTTATCCCCGATTTCTTTCAGCAATGTTTTATATTTCTCTTTGTAGAAATCTTTCACCTCCTTGGTTAGCTGTATTCCTAGGTATTTCATTTTTTGCTGACTATTGTAAATGAGATTGTATTCTTGATTTGACTGTCAGCTTGAACATTATTCGTGTATAGAAATGCTACTGGTTGTTGTGCATTGATTTTGTATTCTGAAACTCTACTGAAGTTGTTTAGCAGTTCCAGGCCCATTTTGGCTGAGTTTTTAGGGTTTTCTAGGTATAGAATGACATATCATCTGCTAAGAGAGATAGTTTGACTTCTTCTTTTCCTATCTGAATGCATTTTATTTGTTTCTCCTGCCTAATTTCCCTGGCTAGGACTTCCAATACTATGTTGAATAAAAGTAGTGAGAGTGGGTATCCTTGTCTTTTTCAAGTTCTCAAGGGGAATGCCTCCAGCTTTTGCCCATTCAGTATGATGTTGGTTGTGGGTTTGTCATAGATGGCTCTTGGTATTTTGAGGTATGCTCTTTTGGTGCCTAGTCTGTAAAGGGTTTTTATCATGAAGGGATGTCATATTTTATTGAAAGCTTTTTCTGCATCTATTGAAATGATCATATGGCTTTTGTATTGAATTCTGTTTATGTGGTGAATCACACTTATTAATGTCAA
Organism: Homo sapiens; assembly: GCF_000001405.40. Lineage (NCBI taxonomy): Eukaryota > Metazoa > Chordata > Mammalia > Primates > Hominidae > Homo > Homo sapiens. The sequence goes on along the minus strand of NC_000013.11, from coordinate 83,077,143 downwards.
CATGTTGAACCAACCTTGTATCCCAGGAATAAATCCTACTTGATTATGATGAATTAACTTTTTGATGTAATGCTGGTTTCCGTTTGCTGGTGTTTTATTGAGGATTTTGGCGCTTATGTTCATCAGGAATATTGTTCTGAAGTTGTCTTTTTTGGGTCATATCTCTGCCAGACTTGGGTATTTAGCTTAAGCTAGCTTCATAGAATGAGTAAGGCAGGAACTCCTCCTATTACATTGTTTTGAAAGTTTCACTAGAATTGGTACCAGTCTTCTTTGTGTATGTGGTAGAATTTGCCTGTGAATCCGTCTGGTCCTGGACTTTTTAAAGCTGGTAAATTTTCTTTGATTGAATTTCAGAGTTTGTTATTGGTCTATTCAGTCGTTACTTTCTTCCTAGTTCAGTCTTAGGAGGTTGTGTGTTTTCAGGAATGTATTCATTTCTTCTAAATTTTCTAGTTTGTATTAATAGTATACATTTTTATTTGTTCATAATTATCTCTGAGGATCTCTTGTATTTCTGTTGGATCAGGTGTAATGTCACCTTTGTCATTTATATTTATTTGGATCTTCTCTTTTTCTTTGTTAGTGTAGCTAGCAGTCTATCAATCTTATTTACTCTTTTGAAGAAGAAACCCTTGATTTCTTTGATCTACCTTATGGATTTTTGTGTTTAAATTTCATTCAGTTCTTATCTAATTTTAGCTATTTATTTTATGCTGCTGGTGTTTGGACTGGGTTCTTTTGGCGGGGTGAGGGTTGGGGGCGTTTTTGTTTTTCGTTTGTTTGTTTGTTTGTTTTCTTTTTTGACAGGGTCTCTGTCAGTCAGGCTGTAGTAAGTGACATGATCATAGCTCACTTCAGTGACCTTGACCAATCTTGACCTTCCCAGACTCAAGTGATCTTCCTACCTCAGCCTCCCAAGTAGCTGGGACTATAGGTGTAAACCACCACACCCAGCTAATTTATATATTTTTTGTTGAGATAGGGTCTTTATATGCTTCCCAGGTTGGTCTCGAACTCATGGGCTCAAGTGATCCTCCAGCTTTGGTACTCCAAAGTGTTGGGAATATAGGCATGAGCCATGAGCCATCAGGCCTGGACAAAGTTTTCTCTTTCTTTTTCTAGTTCCTTTAAATGCAGTAGTAGATAGTTAACTTGAGATTTTTTTAACTTCTTGATGAAGGCATTTAACTTTGTAAACTTTCCTCTTAACACTTCTTGTACTGCATCCCAAATATTCTGGTAAGTTGTGCCTTTGATTTCATTAATTTTAATTTTTTTAAATTTTTGCTTTAATTTTGTTGTTCATTTAAATTATTCAGGAGCAAGTTGTTTAATTTTCTTGTATTTGTGTAGTTTTGAGAGAGCTTCCTGATATTGATTTCTATTTTGAATGCCTTGTGGTCTCAGACTTTGATTTGGATAACTTCAATTTTTTATATTTATTGAGAATTGCTTATGTTCAATGGTTGAACATATAATATGTTCCATGTGCAGGTGAGAATGATTTATATTCTGTGCAAGTTTCATGCAGTATTCCATAGAAGTCTATTAGATCCAGTTGATCAAGGGTTGAGATTAAGTCCAGAAATTTTTCGTTAGTTTTCTGCCTCAGTGATCTGTCTAACATTGTCAGTGAGGTGTTTAAATCTCCCCCTATTGTTGTGTGGCTGTCTATATCTTTTTGTAGGTCAAGAAGAACTTGGTTTATGAATCCTGTTGCTGCAATGTTGAATGCAAATATATATATATATATATATATATATATATATATATATATATATATATAGAATAGTTAACCTTTCTTTTAAAATTGAACCCTTTATTCCTATATAATGCTCTTCTTTGTACTTCCTAAAGTTGTTAGTTTAAATTCTGTTTTATCTGATATAAAAGTAGCAAACCCTGCTCCATTTTGTTTTCCCTTTGTATGGCAGGTCTTTCTCCATCCCTTTCCTTTGAGCCTGTGGGTATCATTACATATGACATGGGTCTCTTGAAGACAACAAATATTTAGGTCATGTCTTTTAATCCAGCTTGTCACTCTATGCCTTTAAGTGGGACATTTAGACCACTTATATTCAAGCTTGAAAATAACATGTGAGATTTTGATTTGTCATCATGTTGTTATCTAGTAGTTTTGTAGTCTTGATTGTGTAGTTGCTTTATAGTGTCTGTGGGCTCTACAATTAAGTGTATTTTTGTGGTAGCATGTGTCATTTTTTCATTTCCCTGTTTAGCACTCCCTCAAAGACCTCTGGTAAAGCTGATCTAGTTATATCAAATTCCTTTAGCCTTTGCTTATCTCAGAAAGATTTTACTCCCAGTCATGTATGAAGTTTAGTTTGATGGGATATGAAATTCTACATTGGAATGTCTTTTCTTTAAGGATGCTGCAAATAAGCCCCAGTCTCTTCTGGCTTGTAAGATTTCTGCTGAGAGGTTTGCATCTAGCCTGATTTGGTTCCCTTTTTATGTGACCTGCCCCTTCTCTCTAGTTGTCTCTAAGATTTTTTATTTCATGCTGTCCTTGTTTAATATGATAACTGTGTGATGTTGGGATGGCCATGTTGGATACTGTCTCACAAGGGTTCTCCATTTTTTCTTGAATTTGCATGTCAAGATTGACAATTTCTGGCAAGATTGGGGACCTTTTTTTGGACCAGATCCTCAAATATGTTTTCCAAATCTCGTGTTCTCATTCTTTCTCTCTCAGGAATGTCAATAAATCATAAATTTAATCTCCTAACTTAATCTCATATTTCTCAGAGGATTTCTTCATTTTAAAAATTTTTTTTTCTTATTGTTGTCAGACTGAGTAGATTCAATGACCCAGTTTTTTAGATCTGAGATTCTTTCTTCAGCTGGTCTATTCTGCTATGATGGCTTCCAACTAAATTATAAAATTCTTGTAGTAAATTTTTCATTCCTGAAGCTCAGTAGGTTCTTTCTTAAAATGTCTATTTTATCCTTTAGCTCTTGGATTGCTTTATTGGATTCCTTAGATTCCTTGTGTATTAGTCCATTCTCATGCTGGTATGAAGAAATACCCAAGACTGGGTAATTTATAAAGAAATGAGGTTTAATTGACTCACAGTTCTGCATGGCTGGGGAGGCCTCAGGAAAATTATAATCATGGCAGAAAGGAAAGCAATCACATCCTTCTTCACATGGCAGCAGTAAGGAGAACTGCAAAGCAAAAGAGGGAAAAGCCCCTTATAAAACCATCATATCACATGAGAACTAACTCACTATCATGAGAACAGCATGGGGGAACTGCCCCAGTGATCTATCACCTCTCACAAGGTCCCTCTCATGAGGTCCCTCACAAGAGACAGGGTGTAGTTTTTTCCTTCTGCTTATTGATATCCAGTTGCCCCAGCACCATTTATTAAATAACTGGTCCTTTCCTCAATTTATGTTCTTGATGCCTGTATTAGCCTGTTCTCATTCTATTATAAGGACATACCCAAGACTGAGTAATATTTAAAGGAAGAAGTTTAATTGACTCACAGTCCAGCATGGCTGGGGAGGCCTCAGGAAACTTACAATCATGGCAGAAAATGACACAAACATGTCCTTCTTCACATGGCAGCAGCAAGGAGAAGTGCAGATAGAAGGGGAGGAAAAGCCCCTTATAAAACCATCAGATCTCATGAGAATTCACTCACTATCATGAGAACAACATGGAAATAACCAACTTCATGATTCAATTACCTCCCACCGGGCCTCCCACAACATGTGGGGATTATGAGAACTACAATTCAAGATGAGATCTGGATTGGGGAACAGCCAAACCACATCATTTCATCCCTGGCCCCTCCCAAATTTCATGTCCTAAAATTTCAAAACAATCATGCCTTCCCAACAGTTCCCCAAAGTCTTAGTTAATTCCAGCATTAATTCAAAAGTCCAAGTCCAAAATCTCATTTGAGACAGGCAAGTTTCTCCTGCCTATGAGCTTTCAAGTTCTAAAATGACCTCCTTTGACTCCATGTCTCACATCCAGGTCACACTGATGCAAGAGGTGTGCTCGCATGGCCTTGGGCAGCTTTCTCCCTGTTGCTTTGCAGGATACAGCCCTTCTCCTGGCTGCTTTCATGGGCTGGCATTGAATGTGTGTGGTTTTTCCAGGTGCATCGTGTAAGCTGTCAGTGGATCTACCATCCTGGGTCTGGAGGAAGGTGGCCCTCTTCTCACAGATCTAGTAGGCAGTGCCCCAGTGGGGACTCTGGGGGCTCCAACCCCACCTTTCTCTTCTGCACTGCCCTAGTAGAGTCTCTATAACGGCTCTATCCCTGCAGCAAACTTCTGCCTGGACATACAGACATTTCCATACATCCTCTGTAATCTAGTCATAGGTTTCCACACCTCAATTATTGACTTCCGTTTATCTGTAGGCCCAACAACACGTGAAAGCCACTAAGGCTTGGGACTGGCACCCTCTGAAGCAATGGCCTGAGCTGTACGTTGGCCCCCTCTTAGCCATGGCTGCAGCTGAGACAGCTGGGATGAAGGGCACCGCATCTTGAGGCTGCACAGAGCAGGTGATTCCTGAGCCCAGGCCTGGAAACCATTTTTTCCTCTTATGTCTCTGGGCTTGTGATGGGAGGGGCCTCCAGGAAGATCTCTGACATGCCTTGGAGACATTTTCCCCATTGTCTTGGTGATTAACATTTGGCTCCTTGTTACTTATGCAATTTTTTGCAGCAGGCTTGCTTTTCTCCTCATCCAATTTTCCAAAGTTTTGTGCTCTACTTCCTCTTGAACGCTTGGCTGCTTAGAAATTTCTTCTGCCAGATAACCTAAATTATCTCTCTCAAATTCAAAGTTTCACAGATCTCTAGGGCTGGGTCAAAATGCCTCCAGTTTCTTTGCTAAAACATAGCAAGTGTCACCCCTCGCTATGGAGGGATTTAGCAGGCTTGTTGGCAGGTAAGGGGGCACTCTGGATTTTAGAGTTGCCAGAACATTTGTGCTGGCAAGAATTTCATTAACCTTTGAAGTTGCTGTTCTTTGGATGGGGCTTTTAGTTTTTTAGTTTTAATGTTCTTTCATGCCCTTGAGGGTTTGACTGTGGTATAAGTTGGGTTCAGTCAATTGGCTTCATTTCTGGATACTTTCAGAGTGCTAAGACTCAGCCCAGCATTCCTAGGCTACATGCTGTAACCTTGGGGAACTGAGACCAGGCATGCTGCTTTGTTCTCTGACCCCTTAAGGTTGAGCACCAGCTGTGCTAGTCAGATCCAAGGTACCCCCAGTCTGCTGGCAACAGCACTTTATCAGGGGCTGCCAGCAAAAGCATACCAGCACATAGGCCTTGGAACCATGGGTGAAAGAATTCTTATAGGGTGGTGGTAGAGGGTGCATGGCTTATGTCCCAGTGGGGCTGTGGGGTGACTCTGGGCAAATATTGTTAAAATGCTATAGTGCCCAAAGCAATCTGTGGACTCAGTGCTATTCTTATCAAGCTACATGTATCATTTTTTACAGAATTAGGAAAAGCTATTCAAAAATTTATATGCACCCAAAAAAGAGCCCAAATCGCCAAGGCCGTCCTAAGCAAAAATAACAAAGCTGGATACGTCACACTACCAAAGTTCAAACTATACTATAAGGCTACAGTAACCCAAATAGCATAGTACTGGTACAAAAACAGATACATAGACGAATGGAAAAAAAAAAAGCAACAGAAATAAAGCCATACACTTACAACCACCTGATCTTTGAAAAAGTTGGCAAGCACAAGCAACAGGAAAAGAACTCCCTATTCAATAAATAGTGCTGGGAAAGCTGGATAACCATATGCAAAAGAATAAAATGACTCCTATCTTTTACCATTTACAAAAATTAACTCAAGATGAATTAAAGATTTAAATGTAAGACCTCAAACAATACAAATCCTATACCCTAGAAGGGTACAGGAAATACCCTTTATAACATTGACCTTGTCAAATAATTTTTGGCTAAGTGCCCGAAAGCAACTGTAACAAAAACGAAAAGGGACAAGTAGGACCTAATTAAACTTAAGTTTCTACACAGTAAAAGAAACTGTGAACAGAGTAAACAAACAATTTATAGAATGTGAGAAAATATTTACCAATTATTCATCTGAAAAGATCTAATATTCAAAATTTACAGCGAACTTAAATGATTCAACAAAGAAGAAACAAATAATCTTATTAAGAAATGGGCAAAGGACATGAACAAATACTCCTCAAACAAAGGCATACAAGTAGCCAACAAACATATGAAAAAATCCTCAACATCACTAATCATCAGAGAAATGGAAATCATAACCACAAGGATATACCATTTTACACCAATCAGAATGACTATTATAAAAATAAAAAAAAATAACAGATTTTGGTGAGGCTGCAGAGAAAAAGTAATGCTTACACATCATTGGTGGGAATGTAAATTAGTTCAGCCATAGTTAGTTCAATTATGTAAATAATTGAAGCATTTAAAAAACCTCAGAGGACTGTAAGAGAATCCAGTAAGATTTTTCCTAGAATAAACTGAAGGTGAATTTAAAAGAAATATAAAAGTTTGACTTTCTTACTTTGACAAAGAACATTAATAATAGAGAAAGTAAAGGGAAAAAAAATCCTTAATATTTAAGAATATGCCAGATATGTTAAGAAAACATGGAAACTAAATGATAAGAACTCATGAACACAAAGAAGGGAACAATAAACAGCAGGGCCTACTTGAGGGTGGAGGATGGGAGGAAGGAGAGGAGCAGAAAAAAACAGCCATTGGGTACTAGGTTCAATACCTGGGTGATGAAATAATCTGTACAACAAACTCCCATGACATGAGTTTACCTGTAATACAAACCTGCACATGTACCCCAGAACCTAAAATAAATGTTAAGAAAAAATAGTTTATCTAAAGTAACATTTTATTTATATTTTAAAGGTCTTTAATATTATTACCTTCAATATTTAACAATTATTATTTTAACTTGTAAATTTGAATAGTTATAAATTATAATTTGGAGACATATTTGAATACTTTTGGAAAATATAGTAATATGTAGGATGATAGTATTATAGTATGCATAGTTTGCAATCTCATGCTTATTAGTCAGTATAATACCCATTGCAAATACAGAAAAATATTGTCTACTACATGAAAGTTGAGTAATAACTCAAAAGAAAATAATTCCAAGGTTATACAATTTTAAGTTTAAAGCAAGTACTGCCACAACTGTACTGCTTGAATTTACTTAAAGCATTTAAGTTTATATTATCTTCTGGAATAATAATAAAACTACCTTAAAATGCCTTTGTGAAGATTAATTGAGGTACTATATAAAGAACTTAGAAAAGTGTGTATCACATTGTAATCTTTCAAAATACATTAGCTCTTCTTAGTTACTGCTAGCAAATATCTTCTTGGGGACAGGGTAAAACATTGAATACAGAGTATAGGGTTAGGGTCCAGAATCAGATAAAGTAATTGAATTATTAGAGAAATTCAGGTATCACATTGTGTTCACAGTAATGGCGATATTCCTAAAGATAATGGAGACTAGGATACACATTTCTCATACCGGAAAAAGTGGAATATACTAAGAATTTGGCCCAAACCCAATGCCTTTCCCTTTTCCCTTTTCTCTATTTCAGAAATTGGTAATTCCTGGGATTCATGTGGTGCTGGGGTCTACATGAGAGCTCTGGCTCTTGCAGACCACCAGTGGACTAAGGATTCACTGAAAATGTGCCAGCTTTGACTAAAGCCTGAAAGCTTGCAGAAGGCTAGGATGGTCCTATTGATAATGTGAGGCCTGACTCTGTAGTTTTGAGATTCTTCCTGACCTCATGTGGAAAAAGCATTGTACCTTGTGTCTTGTGGGACAGACTTGACTTAGACCAGAGGTCAGAAAAAGAGTCAGCTCTTTTTTTTTTTCTGTAAGGTACAGATAGTAGCTATTTTAGGCCTTGTGGACCATACGGTATCTTTTGCCATTACTAAACTCTACAGATTTAGCATAAAAAACAGGCATAGAAAATATGTAAATGAATGAGTGTGAATGTGCTCTGTCATTCATGGACACTTAAAATTGAGTTTTACTAAATTTCCACATTTTTTCCCTTGTGTGGTTCTTAAGCAAAAAGATTGGTATGTGTTTTTAGCCAACTGTACATGAATAACTGAATTATAATGTCTCAAGGAGGGCTAGCGTCTATATTTTCGAAAGACATCGAGTTCCCCTAGCCAGAAAATAGGAAATTAGACTTACTTCTATTTATATGTATGAGGCAATTTTCATGAAATATGACAATAATGAGGAAATTTCAAAATGGACCAACCAGTTCAGCTTTTGAGCTTGTCTCTAACTGCAACTCCATAGGTTGTAATAGGAAACACATGTTGTTGTTGTTGTTGTTTTTCTCTGAAATAATTTAAACAACTACATACAACTCAAGGCCATCCTGTGATGATGGCTGTCACGCATACCATCATTCAAATCATGATGAATTTGTTTAAAATTTCTGCCTAAAATAACTTATTATTTACAATATGGATATCAGCTTACTGTCTATCATGTACATTTTATTTTACTCAGTCTTAAATATACTGTATTGAAGTCTCAAGTATATCTCTTCCCCCAAACGTTAAGAGGTATTAGGCAAGTATTTCCCTCATCTGCAAAATTCATGGGAGTCTTCATTTGCATTGTTTTTTAATTGTATCTACCTTTTCTGAGCACAAATTACTGAAGTTTATAGTCAGCTTGAGGCAGCTCATTCTTACCAATTACTAATTAGTGTATAGGTATAGCTGTACAGTAACTTTGAAAAGGGTAGGGTAATATTAATTATCAACATGCATTTTGCCTTTTAGCCAAAGGCAGTAAGATTTTTAACTGAATGTCCTCTGTCTTTATTTTATTTCTTGAGTTGTTATATAATACTTAGGACTCTGCATTTTAACTTAACAGGTGAGATTATTTAACTTAATGGTATTATATAGCTTGTCAAAGTTATCCATCCTTCAACAGTCTTTCCGAATATTCATACGATCTCAAATCATTATAAGACAAGGGAGATATTATTAATCTGAATGGCCAAAGGAAATTTTGCTTATTTCTTATAGTTTATTAATGAGATATCATACACAATTTTTGATTCTGTGACCTGTTTTTTTTCTTTATTTGTGTTGATTTACTGGTTAAGTCATGCAGGGTTTTCAGATGATTGAGAACAATTTCACCCTATTTTATGTTAAGTGGGGGTCGAGGGAAAAAATAAAAGCAAAAAATACCACCTGAAATTTTAGGGAGGTGTTTAATGAAATGTGTTTTTTGTAATAACATATGTTTGTTAAACTTCCCACTTCCTCTTTTCTCCTTCATTTTCTTGACCAGGCAGAAAAATACTGCTTTTATATATTTTATGTATTGTGTTTAGGAAGAATTAAATTAACAAAAACAAAGGACTGTCATGTTTTAATAATATTTGAAACCTACTATCTGTGTGAATAGCAGAATGTTTGTTGTTAGATAACATAGCAGTCAGATTTGTCACTTGCGAAGCCTGATTAAACAGTATTTGTTTATGTAATATGTATTAGAGGCTAATAAGATGTTTAGTTGCTGCATATGACTAATTTTGTACTTAGTATCACATTACATAAAAAGAAGCAATGACATTTATTCTTTTTACAAAGAATACAGCTTTCAATTTCAATTGTCAATCTGCTTAGATTTTAATTTTCTTCATCTATTATTTTGCCATGTAACCATGTATGGTAAATACATGGTTAAATGAATTTACCTAATACATTTCTATCTATCTATCTATCTATCTATCTATCTATCTATCTATCTGTCTATCATCTATCTATCTATATCACCATATACCAAGAAAGTACTGTCTTAATACATGTTTTGTCACTGTGCAAACATAACAGCTTTAAAGATACCTGGAAAACGTAGGCCACTTTGATTTTTGATATACATATTTTAGATGCTGTTATCCAAAAATAACCAAACATATTAATTTGTGACAGATTGTCAGTTACTTGAACTTCTTTGTCTAGTAAAATATTTATAACGTGAAAATATTTCTGTATTTTACAAAATAAATGCTTCTCCATTCTCCACTTTGCTTTAATTACTGCTTTGAAGATAAGAGCTTTTAAAGAGTGCTTGTCTTAAAGCAGATTGAGGGGTAATGAAGCCACAAAGGTAGCGGAGATTAAACCATATTACTATTACAGTTTTAATTGCATAAATACTGTGAAAGTGTATTGTAATTGAGAATATTACATTTAAAAAATTGAGTTAAGGACCAGCAATCGAATACCCTAATTTTAGCATTATGTTAAATTTTGTTCTTTCTCTGTGCCTCTCTCCAAAATACAAACTGTCTCTACATATCTCTTTTAGATTACCATTTTGGAACATAGCATTATCATATAACTACTATTTTCTCCCACCATAAACAAACTGTATTTTTCTTGTAATCTCCATTTCCATTTTTTCCTTCCACTTAATTTTTATTCTTATTTTCTCATTGCTGTTCTCTTCACTGCACAACAATGTCAATCCTTCTATATTGACATATGTTTACATATTTAGGGGTGTATGCACTATACTATATCTGAAATATAATAATATAACTTGAAATTCTTACCTATATTTATATGAAAAATATATCAAGACCAAGAAAATATCCTAGACTTCTGAGAGCAAGACATTAAACAGTATAAATAGAAAATACAAAATGGAACAATATAAACAGAAAAAAACTAAATCAGAGCCATTTGAAGAATGGATTTTGGGGATAGAAGAACTAAAATATGTAATTTCCAAGGAAGGCGGTCCCCTCCAGGAGTGAAAAAGTGACCAGGTAATAAACATTTGTTAAATAAGTAGGCCTCAGCCCCAAGTGGACTAATGATGATTAAAGGTCATAGAGTGAAAAAATCAGATTAAATAGTTTTGAAGTTGTGTGTGTGTGTGTTTCTGTGTAAGAATGTGATTGTAAATGTCTAGTGTAAGAGTGTATACTTACAGTTGGAAAATTCAGATCAGAAATTCCAGCATTAATGCAGTCTTTCCTAAAATATTTTTATTAAATTGGTATATACTTCTAATTAATCTACATTAATTGGAGGCAAAAATGAGACTCCTCAGCTTCCCTTAAACTGCTATATATTTTGAAAACTTTGACTCAAGATGTAACTTGAGTTAAATGCCCTTCTTATGTTAAACTTACACAGAAAAATTTACTTAACATAATGTGCTATCATATCTTTTTTAGGTTCTATACTGAGATGCTTGAGGTAATCTGCTAGTATATATCATATAGAAATACCAAAAAAGTGACTCTTTTTTATATGACCTGCAAGTATTTTATCAATAAAGGTTGTAGTGGATTTTAGTATTTAGAAACATTAAATTTTTGGATATAGGCAAATAATATAAACAAACATAAAATAGATACTAATTAGACTAATGAGAAAGAAGAGAGGAAAGAAAAGAAGAAGAAATAATCAGAGCCTTGGAATCAGAAGATCAATGAGGAAAATGTAACTCAGAATAGGAAAAAGGATTGGAATTGACATTTGGAAGGGTACCAACATAAAAGCAGAGGCTAGGCATAGAAAGGGAATGAGGTTGGAATGAGAAGGAGGTTTCTGTGCCAGAAGGAAAGCAGACACTGGATTCTGAGCCAGAGTCAGTTATGAGGATGGTGGCACCCGTTACAAGATTGAGTTATGGCTGGAGAGGGGAACAGAATGTGCCTGGCCAGGAGCAGACTCATTGGCACAAAACTACAGCACGTGAGTGAGAGGAATGTGTTCAGAGCTGTTGGAGTTTGTGGTTATTTAATCATAACTTTCTTCCTTCTGGTGCCAGAAGACTGATGGAACTCCCTCCCACAGAGGTCAAACAAATGGTTTTCTCAACTCACTTAGTCAATTATCCACCCTGTGAACAGAAGGTCAGGATGCTGTCTAACTGCAGTTTAAGACAAATGAGATGCATTAAATGTGCAATTGTGCGCAAGGTGCTTATGACAGAACAATCTTAGGGTGTTTAAATACTGCTCTGCCAAGATCAGACTAACTTAATGGCCAGTGTATAAAATTATCACTTTATATTCTTATAATATATATACTTCTTGAGAATTACATAAACTATTAAATTATAAACACTCCATGGAGAAAGAATAGGTCATCATTAACATATCTTAATGGAAATTATTACCAGTTTTTTACCAGAAAGATGTGAGATAAAATCCTGGGTATTTTATTTATTTTTTGAATTGAAAAGTTTATGTCTCAGAACCCCAGTGTTCTACAGTTAATATTTGATTACAATATTAATGTATTTGATTATAACATATATGCCCCACAGATATAAATACATATGTGTGTATGTGAGTGTATAAGTATATCTTCCCTAGTCCATAGCTTAAGGAATTCACAATGTAAGCAGAAAGAATGGCAAAATGTTTAGCAAGCCCAAAACTAATTATGTGATCAGTCCTACAAGAGAGTAAGATCAGAGCAAGCACATGTTCTGCTACAGTTACTTTCTAATTCATATTTAAAATATGTCACACAAATACTTAAATAAAGATATGTCTATGTATGTTTAATTTTCAGATAATATCACTGGATTAGCTTCTACCCATGTGCCAGTAAAGCGTCTGTGATAGTTTTTGTACACTCAGGTTATTAATTATTTAAAGAGTAGCTAATATATCCCAAACACTGTTGCAAGTGTTGGTGAAACAGCAGTGAACTATGAAAACAGTACACAAATATTAAACAAGTAAACATATACATACCTGATATTTCATGTAGTGATCGCCTATGTAGATAATAATCAGGGTCAAAAAAAAGGGAGTAAATGGAATGGGATGGGAACGTTTTTGTAGAGGGTTTAGAGAGCATTCTAGAGAAAGAGACTTTTGAACAGGGACCAGCTGATTGAGGAGTGACCTATGTGAAAATATGGGGAATTAATTCATGGAATTAAGAACTCAGCATGTTTAGAGAACTTAAGACAAAAAGAAATCGGCATCCTTGAAAAACTAAAAGAAGCAGAGTGTGACTGGACTAGAGTTAACAGGAGGAGAATGGTAAAGGGTAATGTTGTAGAAGTAGACAGCAAGGAGAACACCATAAGTAAATAAATAAACAAATAATGAGACTTGATAAAGAAATTGGCTTTTACTTTAGATGTGATTGAAAGCCACTGAAGGATTTTAAAAATGTAAAAGATGTGCTCCGAATTGCCCTGGGGGTGGAAGAGGGAGCAACCATGATGTTCTACTGGCAAGAGTGGTGGCTAGCAAAACCATCAGAATGTTCAATTACCAACACAGAAAAAAAAACTATGATTCCTCAAAATCAGTGTTTACAATAAAGATGTCAAAAAGTGTCTGCTTATAGATATGTTCTGAACATGGAGTAAAATAATATGTACACAGATATGGTAGACAATAAATAAAATGAGAATCTTAGATTACTCTGAAATTTTACCCTTGGATACTAGGTTATTGGGGTTTTATAGACAGTAATTCACCTGGATGTCATAGAAGTTAGTTAAATACTTTGCTGGGCAAGTTCATTTTATTCCTGCCCTCAACCCTAAACCATTTTCAACATTTCTTTATCCTGCACTAAGTCAGCAGCAGCTGAGACAGGAGGGAGGTTGACCCATGACGACAGCATTCCTTGGACTCACTTACCAGTGGACTTCTCGTTGGTTTCACCAAATTGGGGGTTTTAATGATATTTTAAATACTATTTTTCCATGCATTATATATTTCTAAGGAAAAGGTTTTTTCTCTTTTTCAGGTTTATATGTGCAACTTGACATTCCAAACAAATACTTCAAGTCAAAATATTCCAAGCCGAAATTCCTTCCAAACATGCATTTCAGCCTGGTTATCTCTTGGTAAGTCACACTACCATTCTATACAATTCTAAATTTCAAAGCTATGAATGCATTTCTCTGACTACTAGCATAAAGCTGTTAATACAGTATTTGTACAGTATTTATAATATCTCAATGTATTTTTACTAAATATTTTCTTAAAGGTGTCACACTTACTGTCTTTTCATGGACATATGTCATTTCTTGACTAGAATATTAATCTAACTCCCATTGCTTTTATGGGTTTTTTAATTATTAACTTAATGTTCCTATAAAAGTTCATGTGTTTCATCTGTAAAATCTTCAACAACATAATACTTGCACTATACTCTAGGATAAGGTCTAAATGTCTTGTTTTTACACATAAAACTGATAAATTTCTGGACTTGAACACTAACACCTCAAGCTCAATTGTCATCATACACACACACCTGTCCTTAACAAACACACACACACACACACACAAACTCTCCACATTGGGATCCAGCGAAAATTATTATATTTGATTTTATGTATACACAGCATTATTTTCATCTACCTCTTTCTTGGATCACTCTTTCTCTTTGGCATATAATACTTTTGAGCACATTTCCTCCAAATACTATAAGAGGTAATCTGCTCCAAATTTGCTTCATATGAAACTCTTCTTTGTCTCAGAACTATTTTATTTATTCTTGATGCCCACAAATGAATTCTGACTTCTATAGTTATATCTTTACCACATTCTTACAAATTATAGTTTTATTTCTCTTTCTTTTCCAATCAAACCATAAGCTCTTGAGGAAAAGAGTGGTATTCTCCCAATAACTTGGTTGTTAATCTTAGGTTTATTATCTCATCAAATGAAATGTCCCATCCTGAAACTGTGAAATTTGATGTGTAATTAACATAAAGTGTTAGAGTTTTGTTCTTGTTGTTGATGTTGTTACAATCCTACCAAAAAGACTGGCATTTCCACAGCACTGGCATCCAGAGTAGTAGCATCAGTAGAAATTTGTAGCTATAACCTCAGCAGCAGTGTTTCCATCTACTACTCCTCAAACCTTTACTGTTGTTTCAGATACCTCTAAAATACTTGCCATTTCATTAGTCTTCAAATACTTTGATCCACTTTCTATATATTCAATACATGTATTTTTCTAATTTATTTAGCTAGAGTAAATTTCACCTAGAAAAAAAGAACCTTGACTGAAACGAATTTATGTATTCAGCACCAAAAATATGCTTAATATTATTGAAGTTTAATTTATATTTGTGGACTGTAGAAATGAGTGAATAAGAAGTCTGCTTAATATTAATAAGGTAATAAAAGTTAACATTTATTGTGTGTTCAGTTTATATAAAACTTTTGCAACTAACTTCGCAGAAATGAACATGTTTACTCTTAACTTCATTCTTTTGAGGTGGATACTATTATCTTTGCTTTACTTTGGAGGTCATTGAGGCATAGAAAAGTTAGCTGCATGACTCAAAGTCACCCCTAGTAAGTGATGCAGCTGAGATTTGTACTTAGACATCTGTTTCAAGAACCTACAACCATTGTATTATTCTACACTGTCTCTTATAGCACGATAAACAGTTTGCTTTTTGTTTGTGTTGTTTCTTCATTGAGATCATTGTCATTTAAGCAAAAAGAAATGAGTACTGTGCATATATAACATTGGACCATATTTTTCAACTGTCTTTTGTCCAAAACAAAAGAATATATGTAAAACATATAGTTTGATCCAAATTCGAAAAAAAAGTGAAAAACAGTTTTAATGATCATCTTCCCAGCTGTGTGGTTTGCTTGTTAATAAGTGTGATCCATAAATAAATCAGTTGGTATTCATAACAATATCGAAGTAAAGAATAAACACCTTCTATTTTAAAAATCTAGAATCAATCAACTCCAGGGAAATGAGAAGTATAGTAGAATCACATAAGTATTTAGGCATATCTTATTTTATTATATAAATATATGCATATAATATATACATTATGCATATATCATTGTAAATGACTCTACATTTAATTTTCATATAAATTAGGTTTTTAGATTCTATGTCTTTATAGAGGCAAAGCCTAAGTCAAAATAAGAATTAGTTTGGTAAAGACAGAATACCAATGAAGAGCTATCTTTTGAATTTTTTCTAAATGTTCTTATATTAAGCCTTTGTCAGAACTGGAGGAGGAACAGAGTGTTCCAAAGCCTTGGACCCATGACAAAAATCTCTTCTTCTGAATTTTTCATCATTTATCATTTAACTACAAAATGTCAGAAATAAAAAAGACACCATCAGAAATTTTTTCAGATCCTAACTTTTCACCCCAATTATGGCCTTAAGAATAAAGTATAAAAAATTTCAAGCACAGAACTGAAAATAAAAAGGAGCTGGTCCATTTCCAAAAGACTTGCTTTCAATTATATACATTAGAGAGAGCATTAGCTTTAAAACTCAATATTCTACAATCATGACTTTTTATTGACCTATCAAAAAGTTGAGACTACAGAAATTGTGACTTTCTAAAATAAAAGCTTAATGCAAGATATTGTTGCATATATTTCTCCAAGTAGTAGCATGCAATGTTTATCCACTTATTCATATTCATTTTTTCAATATGAAAAAATTTTGAGGCAATATCATCTATTGAAGTCTGTGACCTACAAAGAAAGCAACAATTATGCATTTAGATCTACTGTAAACATAAAATATACACAGTATTGAGTGTCGATGATCTACATTGAAGTCAGGACAATCATTGGCATAAATAATTTTCCAAATTAACCATTTAAATATTTCAACATTTAATATGTGTGTTAGATGTTAAAGTGTTTTAATTAAAATCTTGAAAACAAGGAATTTTGTTGGTTCGAAGGGAGAGGTGGTACTCAATTCATTATGTTTTGCTAGTTTCATTTTCGAAACACTGGGATAAACAGATACCTGGATTTCTGTTTGTTCTAAATGGGCTGTTACATGGTAAACACACACACACTTATATACAATAAGTATAGCAATGAAAGTAATATCTGAAATAATCTAACACTTTTAAATATCATGTTAGCAGTTGCACAAGTGCATTTCCTTCTTGGACACATGATTCTTGTACTCTATATTCTCTGGGTCCCTGTTTTGATTTGTTCCTTTGCTTTCTAAGCCTGAAGCTGAATTTGCACTCTCAGATTTTATTCCCTTGCCCTCCTGAGTTTTCTCATCTGTTTCCTGGAAGTCATGTATTTCATTTATTTGATTTAAAACAAATAAACAAAAATAATGGAGCCTTAAGGAGTTTGTCCCAGAAGAATTAGGGGAGGGTACTCATGCACATCCCTGCAAATCTAAAAGTATATTTATGTTACTCCACAAATGATTTATATTCTGGCAAAATTTGATAAAAATTCACCAAAAATTCAAAAATTCAAAAAATCCAAAAATTGGATTCACCAAATCCAATTTTTAAAATGTATAAAATATCAGCTTGAAAGGGTACATAGAGTATTAAATAAACTATATGAGAAGCAAATCCAAATAGCTACTTAGAAAAGTAAATTTTAAAGCATTAAGACGTATTTCTGAAGGCTTCTGGAAATACAAAGCTATTTATTAAAAATTAAGAATTGATCTTAAGAGCAACACTAGTTAAAATAAAATCATGGGTTAATATTTAGCAGGATTTGAAGGGAAATAATTTATTATTTTGATATGAAATAATCAAAATAAACATACACTGGACCATCAAAGAACCTTAAAATATTAAACAACATAACTTATAATAAATTACCTATATGGAATAAAATGAAATTAGAGCTCACTAAAAAATGGGGTATTAAAAATAACTTGTTTTGGAAAACTATAGTAAACATCCCACAAGCAAAAGAAAAAAACTTTGAAGAAATTATGGCTTACTTAGAACTGAATTACTGTAACATGTCAGAAACAGCTAAAGGGAAAATTTTCAGTTGGAGGACATTTTTCAGAAACAAAGAAATTTCCAAACTGTGATGGCAGTCTTTAACTCCAAAAGTTAAAAAAACATAAAAATAATTCATTCTTTCAAATAAGAAATAATATAGAAAAAGGCATATCAATGAAATAAATAAAAACTAAACAATTCTATTTGTAACTCAATACAAAATGCACTAAATCTTAAATGTTTCATCAAATATCAGTAAATTACAAAATCTTAAATGGATCAAATATTATTTAAATAGATTTTTGAAAATATATTATTTTTTCAAGTAGATTCTTTGCAAATAGATTTTTTTTAAATAGAGTATTATTTTAAAATATAAATTATATTTTTTCATAAGAAAATTTCCTTTGGAAAATTTCTAAAATAAAACAAAAATTCTTGTATACCGTGGTAAGTCTCATTATCAATTTTACCCAATTGCAAAATATTTTGGAATTTGCAAACAAAGGAACCCAAATTAATAGTAATCTGAAAAACATTGACCCTTGTCTTATTTCAACTATTTAGGCAAATCCCAATTAAATATCTCTATCTCTATCTTTCTCCTTGTTTCTCTCTGTCTCTCTGTCTTAACTCCTCCCCTACCCAGTTCAGGAAAACAGTTAAGTCTTTAAAATGTTAACATAATAAAGTCAGACAAACGATACTTGGTAAACATTATATACTGGAAATTGGATCCCTAGTAGGTTCAAATGTATATAAAAATTTCCCTTATTTTTTCCTATTTTCTAAATCAAATACTTTATGTCAAATTTACTGCGTAGACTTTTGTTATGCCTCGAATGATGTTGTATGGACATCTCTCTCACTGTATTTCCTCTTCTTAAGAAAAAGAAAATGATGTTTTGACAGAATTTTAACATATAACATAGTAAACACTGGAGCAATTATTTGCACACTGATTAGAGTGTTTTCTATATTATTTTGTTGTTAAATACTAGATAAGCTACTTGCTGTCATTGCTAAGTAAGAAAAAGGTAGAGGAAGTTAAACTTAACTTGAGAATACATTTCTATTGGAATAGGATAAAATAAATTTCATTTTAAATCATATGTAGATATACTAGAAGTGAATTTGTTATACTGTAATGTGAGCACATTTAGATATTTTAGACATTAATTTTCAGATTTGATTTAGTTTTCTAAGGAAATATATTCTATATTTAAATATATATTGCATATATCATTTATATATACACACACAAATATATTTGAATGTATATATGGATATGTCTGAATAAATAATGTTTTCAGGATAAATCCAACAAAAATTAATTTATGGATTAGTGACTCCATACTAGTATTTATTATGTACTTTATCACTAGCTCTTCATCACTTGGAGCAAAATCTGAATTCACAAGTCATTCTTTCTGACAATCAAACCTCTAGCTCAGAAATGATATTTTAGCCATTGCAGTTCCATTTTCATCGGCATTAAGATATGTAGTCTTTCCAACATACGTAACATTCCTGAGTTTTAATCCATAATGAGGTTTTTAAGATTTAAGACAGACTTTCTCTCAGCTTAGTTTAGACAATGCTTTTTAATCCTATTCATCATTTTGTAATTCCTCATTCTCTTTGACTTAGTCTCAAGCATCAATTATTGCAGTCCATCAGGGATCACATAGAGCATGTCACACACGTTGGGGTAGTAGAAGGCCAGTCAGCCTTTGAGTTCTCAGCTCCTCATTGCCTGATTCACAGGTGTTGCTGTGCTTTATTTCCGTATTGTCTTTCTCTTACGCATAGCCTCTAATTGGCCTAGAAAGCTTTATTCTATTTCCTCTTGATATACTTATTATTTTCAAATTTTTCTTCAAGAAATAATGTGCAGTTAAAAGCAAGAAGGCTTTTTAATGCCATACTCATTTCCTCCCATCTAAAATGTTCCAAAATGGAAATACTGATAGTTATCTGTCATCAGTTACCATCTGCTTCTCTGAGTCATTGCAGTCTAGTTATTGATATAGACTTAGGAAGATAAAAAGCTGAGGCTTAAACTTGGCTACACAACATGCTGTGACTCTTTTAGTCTCATTTTCTTCATTTGTTAAAACAACAACAACAAAATCCTATTGTAGATTGTTTTGAGCATTATGTAATATCTAATTACATTAAAAAGGTAGTTATAAAATATAAGTTCGCTCACTGATAATAGTATTTGTAAAGGTCTATCTACAAAAGTTTAATACTGGTTCAATTATTTCTGTCTTAACAGAATTTTATTGAGCAATGTCTTTGATTATACAGTGTATCACTTAACTATTTGTGTACAGTGAGTAACAGAACATCAGCTAGAAATATGGGCTGCTTTTTAACTCAATATATAATATGTCGTATGATGTGCTTTGACTCAAAAATGCCTGTAATTGAAACAAATAAAAACACAATTTGTATGTAAATACATATTAAAATATTAAGCTTAAGAAACTCCAGAAGAATATTCTGCTTTAGAAAATCAGTTTAGTTATGAGCATACATAAAAAAACTAAATATGTTTAGCATAATTTATTTTTAAAATAATCACTATAATTTTTTTAAAATAATAAAACTTTTTAAATGGCGTGCTGATATACCATTAAAACTGTTTGAGGGTACATTAATGATAAATTTTAAAAATCACCAAGTTCCGTAGAGGGAATTGAAATGTACCTTATCATTACCCTTAACACGGCAGTGATACTAAATTTTGATATGAGTCATTTTCTACTAAAATTCATCTAGCATTCTTTTCTTTTATTGATTTTATTTTGCTATGGCATCATGCTTTGTGCCTGATACTGCTAATGTTTATGTAAGATCAGCACATTTTTCTATGGGTTTTGCGGTGGTATATTTGTTTTTTTTTTTTTTTTACTGCCATAACAAAATTGTCTGTAGCTTATTTGTATTGTTTTCTTTAAACTCTATAGGTTTAACCCATCAGGGTGCAAATAATATGACACAATTTTCAAAAACAACTTTAGATTTTATTTACTACTTTTAATTTAAAAAGTATTCATCATGGCCGGGCGGGGTGGCTCATGCCTGTAATCGTAATCCCAGCATTTTGGGAGGCCAAGGCGGGCGGATCACGAGGTCAAGAGATCGAGACCATTCTGGCTAACATGGTGAAACCCCGTCTCTACTAAAAATACAAAAAATTAGCCGGGCGTGGTGGTGGGCGCCTGTAGTCCCAGCTACTTTGGAGGCTGAGGCAGGAGAATGGCGTGAACCCGGGAGGCGGAGCTTGCAGTGAGCCTAGACCACGCCACTGCACTCCAGCCTGGGCGACAGAGCGAGACTCCATCTCAAAAAAAAAAAAAAATATATATATATATATATATATATATATATACACACACATATCTTTATTCATGCCATCATCAACTTAAAGACACATAAAATTAAAGAATCCTGGATTTTGTTTCTCTATGTAGTTTATTACTGAATTCTAATAATATACTTCTCTTTGTATATACAATAATAAATTATAGTAAGATAAAAATCAAAATAATGTAATTTATCAAACCACTTTAATACTATAAAATAAATTATGGATATTAAGTAACTATTGATATATTTATTATGATACCTTCTTTTTTACATCACACCAATATTGAATATATTTGAATTAGTTAATATTTACGATAATACAAATGTATGTCTATTTGTGTTAAAGCAGTTGTCTGTCTCTGTTTCTGCTATTTTTGCACCTTACACCATTACATATTAACATTTTTTAGAATATATAAAAGTCCTATAAATTTGCACAACTGTCACAAGTCCAAGTTTAATAAGTAGAAAAGTCCATGGCATATGTAATGGAAAGAAACTATGCCCACATAGTGTGTTTCAAAGATTAAAAGATATCTTTTCATTTTTTATACTGCCCCTCTAAAAATATAACCTTCAACAAAAATGTAAAATGAAAAAAAGATTTTATAAGTACATGTATTTTTTAAGTAATTCTGTCAATTTTACATCAGTATACATCATATCTTTCCTACAGATTAAGTGATATAGTTATGAGATCTATGTTTCATATGTTATAGTGCCAAAACTGGCAAAAACCTGAAAACTGGATTAGCTGAATATTACATATTATTTCAAAAATAACTCTTTAATACTGTGATGAACAAACTGTTTTAAATTTTTCTTTAGAATCTGCATTGATGAAATTATATTCACTGTGATTACTGACCAAAACAACTACATTGAATTATCTCAATTTTACTTTTTATTCATCAGCCACTTACTCATTAAAGAGATATTTATCGCATACATTTAAGTATACAGTGGTATCTTAGACACTATAGAATTATCCGCTTGCATCCAAATATTTTAAGAATAAGATGCTGATTATTTTTTAAGGTTGCACCCACTTTTCTAATATTCTTTAAGGATAATGATTAGTTTAAATTTAAATATTTTCACCTTAAATATCTATGTACCTACTAGCATTAAAAGTGTCCCCTGACTGAAAATTATGTATTACAAATGTAAAAAATTTCCCTACAAATTTTGAACAAATATATAAACTTAGGTCTCTTAAAATAGTACTCTTATTTATGGTAAATCCTTGTTAGGAGAAAGCATACAACCATATATGTCTGCATGAGATGATATTCTATGCGGGTATTCTCCTCCACAAAATTCAACATTAATTTTAATCAATCCTAAAGCTACCATCAAGTAGCCGAATAGATATGTCCATCTTTCCAGTATGATGGGTTCTAAATTTGAACCTCAATACATTTTAAATAATTAACTAGGTGTAATTTAACCTTCCTTAATCTTTTATATTCCTCAAAATTTCCAATAATTTAATTTTTCATTTATTCAATAAGATAAATGCCATCTACACTTACATGCACTTTTTAGCATCCTTACATAGCAGAAGGCGGAGAATCTTTTTTATCATGAGATTTTATTCATCAAGCCAAACACTACAGGTGATTTGAAATATCATTTGATGATTTTATCTGCCACGTTATACTTTTCTGAATGGCCCTTGACTATGCTCATCTTTATCTTCTTTGAGTTTTATAGGCAGTAAAACAGTATCATCAATATTCTACTCATCATATCTTGTCTCATATAATTCTTAGCAATTTGTATATTTTTTCCCATTTAAGAAATTCTGTGACTGAGGTGCATTTACATTGATATGATAATTAACAATACTGAGTTAGACATATAATACATGCTGAATAAGAGCTTGATTAATGATTTTTAAAAGCTGAATTAATTAATTTGATAACCAACACCTTTTAAGATCGATGTTAGGATTATAATAAAAAATTAAATCACTCATTAATTTAATATATCACAATCTAAAGTAAAGACAGCGAAAAAAAAAGAAAGAAGAAAAAGTTCATTGTGGTTATGGACTGAATTTTGTGCCCAGCAAAATGCATATGTTGAAGCCCTAAGCCCTAGCAGCTAGGCATGTGACTGTATTTGGAGATAAGATTTTTAAGGAGGCAATTAAGTTTAAATGAGGTTATAGAGTGAGACCTTAATCCAATATTACTGGTTATTACGGGTATCCTCCTAAGAAGAGAGAAACACCAGGGAAGCTTCTGCACAGAGTAAAGACCAAGTGAGGACATAAGAAGATGGTCGTCTTCAAGCAAGTCTTTGTGAGAAATCATACCTGCTAACACCTTGATCCTAGACTTTCAGCCTCCAGAACTGTGAGAAAATAAATTCATGTCACTTAAACCACACAAATTGTTGTATTCGTATGGTAGCCCAGGCAACATAATACAGCCATCAAAACAAAATATCTTCAACTCAATTTGACTTCTGTGAACAGGAATGGCTATTATTTCTATAATTGAAATGTAACAAATTTTATTTTGCTTAATTAATACCACTTCATGCCATTTTTAAATGTCACAACAAACATTTTCTAATTTTGCATTAAGACTGCTACAAAGCTTTCTTAATGCAAAGTTTCTTCTTATTTAGGATCATGGTGTAGTATAGAGAAATGAATGCAACTTCTTTTATAAAAGTGCTAAATGGAGAAGTAATAAACTCTTTTAAATTGGGGTTTAAAAGATTATACAATATATGCAATTTTTAAATAAAACCTGAAGTACCACCCTAGAGAGAAAATATCTCAACATATTAGTAAAAGAAAACATATTAGACAAAGTAATTTCAGCTTTTAAACTCAAAACTTAAAAAGCTTTTATATTTGAAACTGAGGCACATTTAATAAAATGTGTGTCCTTCTTAGAAATCAAGTACCTTTTGTTTCTTAGTATGTAGTTAGTGTCAATTCCTTTCAGGTCATATAACATCGATTAGAATATAATGTTGCAGGTTTAATTCTATCTTCAGTATCTGAAAAATTTGATGCCCTCTTAAAAATCTGTATTTAATATTTGCTGGTAAATTATTTTTTCCTATTAAAATTTCATGTTTTAAGAAATTGTGCTAGTAAAACATTATGGTCTGTGATGTAGGGAAGAGGATGTTGGGCTAATAGCCTTTAGAGTTAACTGGGCCTACTTTTTCCTCTTACTGGCTTTGTAGCTTGAGACAGACTTTTATCATCTTTGAGATTATTTATGCATCTGCAAAGTACCCTAACTCTCCCCAAAGGACATTTCATTATATTACTTGTACTAAACAGCAGGAAAGTATTTTATTCAAATAGAAATTATTTGATAATGATTAAAATATTTAACATATTTTTAAGAGGAATAACAATAAACATAATTCCTTTGGTTTGATACTTATTTTTGCATAATTTGTATTATACTCATGTCAACTGCTCCAGGATTATTAATTATTTCTTTACTTCATATGCCTCAAATTATAAGCTTAGCTGTTCAGGACACATTCACCAAGGTAAAATGATAACACAGCTGTGTCACTATATGCCTCCTGGCTAGTCCAATACCAATAGGTCTCTTATTCAGGATAACTAGAATGATGGTAGGAACAACTCTTCATGAAGCTGTCTCTCTGATAACCTGAGCTGCTAAAATGGGTATTTTTCTTTATTTCATTGAGACATCAATGTTTGTAGAGAAGACAAAATATACCTTTATTTCCAAGGTGTTGTGCTTTGGTAGATGACCATTCAGACCTTGCAAAGAAGGATATGGAAATCAGTTGTATGATCCTTATTGAGACTATAGAGTGTGGTTACAAAATATTTCACCAAATCATTCTTAAAGATTGTCTCTATCCTCTATATCACTTCTTTCCCCACTTCAGTGGGAAAGGTAGAAGGATGCCTTCTTCTTACTGTCAACCAAATGAGAGTACTTACAGGGGGAACTCTGGGTAGCTTACGTGAATCATGACGTTTTAGCAGGTGTTGCATTAAAAGTCTATAGACAAGAGACTGAAATGGCTGTGACATGTCAGTAGGCAAGATTGAAACTGAACTTTTACCTTTGTCTGAGCAAAAATGAGGTCCCCATAAAGGAATGTAATCAAGATTTTCTTGGATCTTTTAAAATATAAGACAAGAATAGGTTTGTAACCCCAACAGAAGGTGAACTACTGAATGTCGAGAAGTTGAATGAGCAAACACAAGCTCCCAGCTGGAGGAGAGGCATTCCATATCAAGGTGGATTTGGGAGACCACAGTAAGAGACATTTGAGAAACACACAGAAGTCTTCTACAGAATAAAGAATTATTGCGATTGCAACCCCAAAGAAATCATCACAAGTGCACAAAGACATTTTCAACACTTGCCTCTCTCTTCTCCCTTTTTCTCCATTTCTAGAGAGTTCAGAGCCTCATGAAGAAAAATGAGAAGCATATAAAGTCGTGGAGAAACAGAGTAAAATCTTTCATCCTCAAACAGTTTATTTTCTCCTACCAGACTTCAATGCATGCTTTTCAGTTTGAGCTGATGGGAAAAGCTTTCCGTTGGATATGATTATTGCATGAGAGTAGACATTATAATAGTTTAAATGAACTTGCGATTGAGGCTGAAATTCTTGGAAGCCATTCTGTTACTTAAAAGAGTGGAATGATTTATGAATTCCATCGACTGTCAAAGAGAAAAGTGGCTCAGAGGGTGGGTTTAAAGCAAAGGTGTATTCCTCATCGGTTGTATGGTTTCCTTTAACAATTCATCATATTAAGCCATGGTGTCTTGAAGTCCTTGTTTTTCTTTTAAATGTCATTGATTTTGTTTTGTTTCCTTGTTAATTTGGCTGTCTATGGTTTCTGTGAAAAACAAAGAAGCTTTACTAAAGACAGAGATATGGAACAAAAGTAAGGCAAAATGCAGTATATTTTGCCTACTCTGTTGGCAACCATATAATGGAAATTTTGGAATTTGGCAAAGCATACTCTTTACATAATCTAACAATAACCCAGTGATTATCTCAAGAAATCACTACTAATGGAGTTCAGAAAAAAAGCAGACTTAGATACTTACTAGCTTTTCTTTCTCATTGTCTGTTTTTATTGAAGTAAATATTACTACAAATTACAACACAATTAAACGCACCCATTTTAAGGGTACAAGCGAATGATTTTTAACTCATTTAATTACATATTTCTCACATGCACATATATCATGCACACAAGTAAATATAATGACAAGTAAGATACAGATCACATCTGTTATCCTGATGATTATCTCTTCTATGTCACCCATGACAAAACTAGCTTTGTGTCACTTTAAACAAGATTTGCCTTTTTAAATTTTCCATATAAATGAAAGATCTAGTATGTACCTTCTTGTATTTGGCTTCTGTCACTTAGAATAAAGATTTTGAGAATTTTCCATGTTATTTCATACATCAGTATATTATTATTGCTATCAATATTTTTGTAATATATGGATAGATCAAAATATATTCAGCCATTCGTCTGTTGATAGATATTTTTGTTGTTTCTAACTTTTGGCTATTATTCAAAGAAAGCTGCAATAAAATTTTTGTACAGGTATTTTTAATAATATGTATTTTAATTTATCCAAAATAAATGTCCAAGAGTAGATTTATTGGACTTAAGGTAAGCATGTATTTAATTTTATAAGTAATTGCCAAATATTTAGTAGAGCGATCATACTATTTTGGATTTAAAGTAGCAATATCTGAGTTATAGTTAATCTACATGCTTGATAACACTTGGTTTTCTCAGTCTTAAATTTTAGCTATTCTAGCACAATATAGTGACATCCAACCTTGGATTTAATTTGCATTTCCCTCATGACTAATTATGGTGGTCAGTTTTTCGATTCTTACTTGCAATTAGCCTATGTTCTTCATTGAACAAAATGTACAAAATCTCTGCCCATTTGAAGTTGGGTGATTTGTCTTCTCTATATTTGTAAGAGTTTTTTATATTTTCCAAATGCAAGTCATATATTATCAGATATTAATATTGCAAACAAACATTTTCTTTCAGTGGCTGCTTTCCTTTTCATTTTTTTATTTAAAAAAAGATTCTTAGTATTGATGAAAGCCAATTTTATTTTTTTCAGATTTTCATGTGTTTTTCCTATCCCAGATCATATTTTTTCCATGTTATATTCCGGAAGTTTTATAGATTCAGCTTTTATTTTTAGGTCTATAAAATATTCTCATTTTTTTTTGTTTGTGATATGAGGTCCAACAGTTTTTGTTTTGTTTTCTCCCATGTGGATATCGAGTTGGTCCATCAGCATAGTTGTAAAGATTAGCCATTCTCCTCATTAAATTATCATGACAACATGATTGAATATCATTGTACATGTAGAGTTCACCTGTGGACTTTCTATCCTGTTGATCTATGTGTATATCCACAAACCATGTGACATGTCTTAATTACTGTAGCTTTACTATAAGTTTTAAATCACATAGAGCACACGTTCTAACTGTTTTCTTTGATTTAAAAATTGTGTTGACTATTCAAAGTCCTTTTAAGTTTTATACACTCTTTAAAATTAGTTTGCATATTTCTACAAAAAGAAATCTGATGAGATTTCAGTTGGAGCTTCATTGACTTTGTAAACCAAAAGGTATCTGAGACAAGTCTCAGTCAATTTAGTTGATTTGGTCAAAGTTAAGGACATGCCCATGAAAACTCCTCAGGAGGTCCTGAGAACATGTACAAGGTGGTCAGGCTACAGCTTGGTTTTATACATTTTAGGGAGACATAAGACATCAATCAATACATAAAATTCTAATAAAGAAAGAACGTTAATCAGCCAAAATATTGTTAGAATTATGTTCCCTGGTAAAGTACAAGTTATCCAGGTAAAATTATTCAATGTGCATTTTTTAAAATTAAAGCGTAAACTTAAAAATAATCCCTCTGATAAGCTGGTCAAATACAGCTTCAGAAAATTTTATTTAAAGTTTAAATCTGAAGTTGGCTAGTTTAGAATTTATTGTTTTTTACTAATCTGAAACTTAGCATCTTACTTTATATATTTTAAAATATTTCCTGCATAAATATAGTAATAAATCTACATTAAAAAGAACTTAAACACAGTTTATAAAACCATTAAATTCATTTTGTTTAATTATATCTCATCCTCTAAAAGAAGTCTCATATTTTCTTCTAACTTGATTCTGGCATCCATCAAAAGAATTTATTTAATGCTAGAATAAGAAATAACAAACAATTCTATTTCACAGCTGAGTGCATTTTTGCAATAGTCATTGTGTACCTCTGTCTCATCCAAAACTGACAATGCATATTTTTCTCATTAGTCTTTTTGTGTGGTATGCAACACTGATTTTTTGGAATTGGGTATTTATTTCTAACTGCTGAAAAGAAGTGACAATTTAAATTCATATGTTCTTTGATAGCTAATGCTAAAATAACATTCTTGATGTAGACATGCAATTCTTCCCAAACATTTTATTTCTAAATAAACGCATGGCTTTATTGGGACACACTGAATTCAATTCATGGAACACTTTGCTGTCTTTTTTGGTTCCAAAATATGTTGGTGCCTTGAGCAAAGTAAATATTCAAAACATGTTTACTGATGTTAATTATTTAATTTCTATTTGCTCTTTGAGAGTATATTCAGTCAAAGTAAAAACATATTGCAGAATTAAATGAGAACAAAAAAATTTAGAAATAAAAAATTTAGTATGTATGTATGTACGTGTCTATATATCTATATGTATGTATCTATCTATAGAGATATATTTATCTATTTAATGTTAGGCCATTTGTGCTGTTACAACAAAATACCACAGACTGGATAATTTATAAATAGTAGAAATTTATTTATCACAGTTTTGAAGGCTAGGAAGTCAATGATCAAGGCACCAGGAGGGTCATTGTCTATGACAGCTGCTGTTTCTGTTTCCAAGATGGCACCTTGTTGCATCCTCTGGAGGAACGCAACACTTTGTCCTTACATGGCAGAAGATAGGAAGAGCTAGAGAAGCAAATTATCTCTGAAGCTTCTTTTATAAAAGCATTAATTCATTCAGGAGGGTGGAGCTCTCATGAGTTAGTGACTTCCCGAAGACCCTACATCTTAATACCACCACAATGGGGATTAAGTTTCAACATGAATTTTGAAAAGAACACACATTTAAACCATAACATGTATGTGTATATATATATATATATATATATATATATATATATATATATATATTTACATGTCTTGACAATGTGCTTTCTACAAGTTTTGCAGTTTAATGCTTGCAAAAAAGAATCTACTTTACTTAGATTGATTCATTTAACATGTTATAATGAAGCCATATAGACTAAAAACTATTTAGACCATCTGATACAACCTTTCCTCTGATAGACCAGGAAGGTCTGGAAAAATGTAATGACATACTAAAATTATGTGACTAATTATTGAGATCATTTGAATTCATTTCCAGATTTTGAAACCCATGTCCTAAATTCAAATTGTCTTTCAAATCAGCTAAAAGAAGAAAGAAGAAAACTTATGTAATTACACTGCATTTTGAATTACATAATTACCTTTACTGGTGCTTATTGTTTGATGTGGATTTAAATTTTTCTCTGGTTTTGTTGCTTTCAGCCTCAAACTTTTCCTTTAGTATTTCTTTTAAGGTGCATTTGGGGTTTATTAATTTTTCTCTTGTCTACTTTTTTCTTTGTTCTGTGACTTTGCTGGACTATCTCTACGAAATCTGTTCCCCTTGCCATGGAAAGGCTTATACCCTTACCATGTTGCTCCTCAGTGAATAGTATTAAACATCTATAGAGTCCCCTGTGTTGGCAATGGTTTTAGATAAGCTGTATTTCACAGTCTCTTTACCTGATCTCTGTTAAGCTGTATGCCTCTGTTAGCAACACACCTAGCTGTTAGATACCGCTAATTGCTGGCTGATTGCTTTACTGTTTTTGACAATGCCCTGATCGAACTCCACTTGGGCTCATTTGCAAAGGTAGTTTTTGAGCCCAGTCTTTCTTTTCCACTTTTTTATTATTTGTTTATTTATTTATTTTGAGACAGG
The DNA here is from genome assembly GCF_000001405.40 of Homo sapiens. Classification (NCBI taxonomy): domain Eukaryota; kingdom Metazoa; phylum Chordata; class Mammalia; order Primates; family Hominidae; genus Homo; species Homo sapiens. The sequence continues at coordinate 83,046,863 of NC_000013.11, read as the reverse complement.
GTCTCACTTTTTTTTCTTTTTTTTTTTTAAGACAGAGTCTGGCTGGAGTACAGTGGTGTGATCTGGGCTCACTGCACCCTCTGCCTTCTGGTTCAGGGTTCAAGCAATTTTCCTGGTTCAGCCTCCCGAGTAGCTGAGATTACATATGTGCGCAACCATGCCCCGCTATTTTGTGTGTGTGTGTGTGTATTTTTAGTAGAGACAGTGTTTCACCGTATGGACCAGGCTGGTCTTGAACTCCTGACCTCAAGTGATCCGCCTGCCTCGGCCTCCTAAAGTGCTGGGATTACAGGCGTGACTCACTGTGCCCGGCCTGTATTTTTTTTTTAATAAACTTTACCACGTATGTTTGGGATTTATAACACACTGTTATGGAATGCAGACAGATAGTAAAATGGTTACTATAGATATCTGCACTTATATGTTCATTTCACCATTATAAATAATAGTCAAGATACAGAAACCACCCAAACGCCCATTGACAGTTGACTAAATAAGGAAAAAGTGGTATAGTTAAACAATGAAATATTATATAGACTTAAAATGAAAGGAGATCTTGCCATTTGCCACACATGAATGGACATGGAGGCCAACCTTTGAATGTTTATTTTCTGACCACACGAGGGATTTCCTAGCTGTGTTTTCTTAAAGAAAGAAACCGAGGCAAAATTAATATAGATAGAGTTTATTTGGGCCAAATTTGAGGACTGCAGCCTGGGAAACATGGAAAAGTGCCCCAGAGAACAAAGGAGAAGCTCATGTTTTTAAGGAAAAAAAGACAAATCAGGAGAGGAGGTGATTACAAAAGTTGTTTGTCAGAAATTCTCATTGATGTACAAAAATAGCATTCATTAGTGATTGACTACACACCATTGAACGACAGGATATAAGTTATGGTATACATTGTATGGCATTGTTAGGTAAATTGATAGCTATTTGTAGCAACATTTAGTCTAGGATTTGTATGGTGGGCAGCTTTAAGATGATTACTTAGCTCAAAGGGGTGTGGTAGGACATGACTACAGTCTCATTTCAATTATTCTCTAGGCTAGATCATTTAAAGGGGGCTTGCAATTCTCAGACAAAAAGTTCCTCTTTCCTTTCTCAGATCGTGTGTAAGTTAGTTTTACACGATCTTTCTATAGGGAAGGTTTACCTCAGGGCATAGGTTTCTCTAGCAATGAAACAGTGGTTCAACATGCTTCTTCATCATTGTAAGGAGCATCTAAAATCTCAACCACTGGGCATGACTTTTACCATTAAAATAAGAAAGGGGTAACTATACATTGGAGTTTAAGTCAAACTGAATGTGGTGGTGGGGTTGGGGGAGGCGGTGGAGGGGCGGCCAGGATTGTCCCTAACCCCCTGAAGTAGAAATGCAATTAATAGCCTCTTGGGTCTTTTGTTACTGATTGGATGCAAGGTGCAAGTTAGGTAAGCTAGAACTTGAGTAATATTTTTTTTTTCCTCCAAACCGTATTAAAACAGGAAACCAATCAGCTTACCTGTCTGTCTCAGTGTAAAGATTAGGGCACTCTCATGAAGCTGCTACTCTTTCTAATTGCTTACTATTAAATTCTCTCTTGTTTTTGAGAGAATCTTTAGGCTTACGCTTTCATGCACTCTATTCAAAATGAGTCAATTCCCTTGGTGAAAAATTTGGCGCTCGCTGTTCTGGTGGTCTAAATTTTACACTGGGCAAAACTTCTGAGTTACTGCTTTGGAACTAGGTTTGGGGATCCTTGTTCACTTCTCTTATAATAACACATCTGGGGTATGAGTAGGGTGCTAGAAAGAGAGGGTAGCCTCTTGTCTTCTCTGCTTGGCCCTATCGATATAAGTGAGCTATGGTGAAGGCGATTGGAGAAGTATTCTCAGTCTCCCTGGCGTGGGGTAGAACCTCAGGTGTTTGCATCCAGCGAGGGTGGAGGAAGATAGCCCCCTTTCTCTCAGCTGCTTTTCCTGGAGTTTGGCTTCAGCAAGAAGAAATTGAAGATTATGAGATATGTTGATGGTTTCCACCTTCTAGAGAGAACTATAGCCTTTACCTGGGAAGTAAATGGACAGAAAAACCTCTCTTTTTGGCCATAGCTGCTCAGAGTGAGTCTTTCCTCATGTTGAGGAGAGTCAATGGGAGGAAGACAGCAAGTCATGGCTCAAGTCTACATTCCCTACTTATTCTTACAAAGCCTTCGTAGATTTTCTTGAATAAATGTTTCTTCATTTGCTATATGCTGTTAGTATAATCTGCAGTGACTTGTTTTAAATATAATTTTTTTCCAATTATGGTGTTCTACTGGGCTGTGGTTCCACAGAACTCCCCATAGCACCATTCCAGACATGAAAACTGATGTATTTAACTAATGCTAGCCATCACACAGAAATGTAATGCGAGACATAAAGACCAGTAAAGAAATGTAGATAACTGCAAAGAAATTCATTTCAAATAAACCTAAAAGTAGAACTAAACTTCTTTGTGACATACAAGATACATTACCTGCATAATCAACAACAAAACTTTAAAAATTATTTGTGTGACACACAGTGGCAGTAGGAGTACTGATACCTTCTTTTAAGATTGTATACTCTCCATTTTTCCATTTTCCCTTTACTTATACTACATAAAGCATTTAAAAATCTTGTTGTCCTGGTTACTGATATTAAAGCAAACACACAGAAGAGATCAGACCTGGAACTCTGTCTGAGATAATATATTGTACTCAAAATAAAAGAAAAGTCACTACTGTGAAGGATACTTACATGTAACAGTTTTTCCCTCTGACATTGCATTATTTTTATTCCCTGAGAAGATACAATGATTAAACTAAGTACGACTCTAAAAGGTTGCTGGATTTAAATAACTGTATACCATTTTCTTAAAAGAGTCATGTTTGGAAAGAAGAAATGGCATGACATTTATAAATACATTGTTTTTTAAAGTAGATGATGAGACACAAGAAATATATTGAATGGTAAATTACCCAAAACACAAGTTATAACATACTCTTTTTCTCATGAATATGTAAAGATGAATTCTGATGAATATTTTTGGTAGCAATCACATTTTTTTGTAAACTCAATGCTATCCAATTGACATTCCATCAAATAAAAATAAAACATAGTACATAAACAGCATTTTAAAAGCTATATTACTGTATGTGACTCTGCACAGTATGGTAGCCATTCTGTAAGGTCATTTTGAACTAAATGAAAAGGTGACCTGAAATGAGATTTGATGTTGCTCTTAACAGTATGATGCCACCAATTATATTGCAATAGATGCATCATTTTAAAGGTTTTAAATTACTTTCTTTGCCTTTTTTGTCAAAAGAGCATACAGAAAAAAAATGGCTTTGTAAAAACAATGTGAACACTTTTTAAATAACCAATTCCACAGAAATAAACCATATCACAGAACACATTAAGTCTTTGCAGCTGAAATCAGCCCACTCATTTTTTGTGTCATTTAAATTCTACACATTACCCGTGAAATCATTGAATTTATCAGATTTTCTGCACACTAGGATGTATCAATAACTAGATGGTTAGACAGATAGATGCATAGGTAGACAATATGGATAATTACGTATAGATGTATAATAATAGATATATAGACATCATATACAAACATACACATACATGCATATGTACATAGTGGAATGGTGCCAATTAAGGAGACCAGAGAGAATAACCTTTTTCATCTTTGAACAGAATGAATCTTACTTCATTCTGTTTTCTGAAGTGCTTCGCACTTATTGTATGGTTTAAGTAAATATTTCTTGATTAATTTGTCAAAGAAAATTTGAAAATTTGAGCAGTTTAACAGGCTTACTATTTAGGACCAAAAATTATTAAATAAAAAATTCTGCTTTAAATTTCTCTATCATCTAGAACTTGCATTCACTTATTTGCTTCAACAATACTTAATTTTAGATCTCCTATCCTTTCTCTTTTCTATTAATAAATTCTATTCTTATATATGCAATTATTTGCTTACTATCAGACTCTTGGGCCTCAATGGAAATACAAAAACAAAATATTTAAATTAATTCATGGGACACCCATTAATTTAATCTGCTGATCTTCTGTCATTGATACACATACCTGGAAAACTTAGTTGAAATCTCAACAAAGAGTAGTCTTCTGTCGGAAACTCATAACAAATATTTGGGAGTGACTGCTATCTCTCTTTCTCCACACAATCACCTTTTATTTCTTTATTCCATCCATGAATTATTTTTCAAATTTGTCTGTTTTTCATATAGAGTGACATGATACTAGTTTGAGCCACTATCCTCTCACTTAAACCTGTGTAATATGCTGTAAACCTATCTTCCCTGTCCTTTCTTGTAACTTTTCGTTTGATTCATCACTGAATATCGGAACAATCTTTACAACTATGATTTAGGTAAGAGTATGGTCTTGCTGTAAACTTTACAATGGCATCCTCTTTTCATTACAAAACCTTGTATTAAATGGCTACAAATTATCTTCAAATCCACTTCATTCTGTTTTAAAAGGCCTTCATTTCCTAACATATACAGGCTTCGTATTTCCAGAATTTCAAATCCTCCTCTGCCAAGCATGCTTTTTCTCTTCTCTCCATGGACTAATTTTTCTTTACCTTTACTCTTTAAAAATCCCTTCACAAGAAGTCATTCTTAAACTCCATACTAGTGTAGGTCACCTCGTTATATGTACAATCTAATGACATGTATTTTAACATGAATTGTTTGCATACATTTTTAAAAATATGCCTCTCTTACGAGATTCCCAACGTCTTCAAGCCAAGGACAAAATCTGTCTTGTTACACTTAATTCCAGCACCCAAGTTGACCACCTTGTAATGGGAAAATACTCATAATGTTTGTGGAATAAATGAGTCCATCAGTCAGTCCTTTATTAGTAAGGAATACAAGTGAGAAAATAAATCAAATAAAATTTGACAAAATGGGAATGTATATAGAGTTCCTCTAGCACTCCCACAATTGTAATGGCTACTGTTTAAAAATTGTCTTTTCACTCAATTCTACTTACTTTTCTGAGAACGCTTATGTTAAACACTAGCAACAGGGAAAACAGAGCTCTTTTGTTGATTTCATAAGACACAGATGCACTGATATTAGGGCAAATAATTTAAACCGAGGCAAATACCATTTCTTCCCACCAGTTCTAAGCTTAATGTTATTTCATTCTGAGAACCTCTGCAGGTTCTGGGATAAAGAAGTATAAGCAGTGTTGACAAATTAATGGAAATTTCAAACACAGCAAATCAATTCTGTGGGCATTTTGTTGAACAGCTGGATAGGCAAAGCCCTGTGACAGTACGTGTGGAGGTACACTGGCAAATAAAGAGCACATACAGCTGATTGTCAAAGTGATTGTAATTAGGTCCTCCAATTTCATCTGCAGTACTTCGCTTTTATTTGTTGTATGTTGATTCTTTCAAAACCTCTCCCAAAATTGGTATACTTGACTATGCCATGGTAAGTATTCTTATGAGGGGCGATTATGGAGTAATGGAGATGCTACAGTATAAAAACAGAGTCCTGTTGTGTCTAGAGTTTTCACATGCAGCCTTTATGATTTCTAAGTTTAGTTTGCTCAATATGTAAAATGAAGAATGCTGTTTCTCTTTAAGGCCACATTTAGCAGTATAATAAAAAGTTTTAATGCTGTTGATATTACACATTAAGCCATCTTTCACCATTTAATCATAACAAGTTTGTTCCTAAAAGTATGCCTGAAATTTAGAGATTTAGAGGGAAAGAAAGTCTAATATTTTGCAGTGGCCAATTCTACTCCAAATCCTATAGATTTAGAACAAACCTGAAATAGCGTGGACATTGGAACTGTCTAAAGGTCAACTATGACCTCATAAGTAACAGTAAAGGACACTATATTTTTATCTTGGATGGCATGACATCCAATCTCTTACTTTTTTATGTTTTGCTTTCTCTTTAGAATCCTCACCTACATTTTTCAGAAACTCCATTGCCCTGAATTAATTATTTCCAGTTTTCTGTTATACTATTTTGTGGCTCCTTTTGATGCAATAGATTTCAATTAGGTAGCTGAAACAAGATCCTATCTTCCATAATCGCAGAAAGTTTACTGTACTTACCACATAATTTATGGAATTATCTTTGCACTATATTATCTTATACTTTCAAATTTCTGCCTAGCGTCTGTAAGTATCATTTTTACTTTGTAATCTTTGTTCCATTTTCTTCAGAGGTAGCTACCCCAAGAAGATTACTCTGTTCTCTGAAATAATAATAATGCTAATATGGTAGTTCCTCCTATAAATAAAGTGGATACAATTACTCCAGTATAGTACTATGCACTTCACATGCATAAATGTGTTGTATACTCACAAGAAATGTTAGTGTAAGTGCAAAGTCCATTGATATTTTACAAGAGGAGACTCAGAAATTAAGAAACTTGTCTAATGTCATAGAGCTAGTAAGTGGTAGTGGGTTCAATCTGAGACTAATTCTAGTGACGTGTCTGAATTATTATACAGTAAGTACATTAATACTATTGCTTGGAAAGACTATTTGCATAATTTATAAAGTGAGACTACTCTTCTTGGATGATTTACTCAATTACATATGTAAAATTACAGTAAATGTACATTCAACTAAAATGCAATTAAGTTGAATTATTAGCCTTATAATAGTGATTTTCTTAAAAAAGTGACCAGCTTAAGTAATGAGGGCAAACCAAAAGGCAATTACAAATTAAGAGAAGCTTGCTTGGAACATTTTTCAACCTTCTTTTCCAGTGCTCTTATCATGACTTCATACAACACACCTTCCCACATGATTGTCACAATCATTTTTGAGTACTCACCACTCTCTGGACATGCCTGGATCCTCTGAGAAATTTCCTGTGTCAGACTTTCTTTTTATTGTCCCCATTTTTAAAATTTGTTTTCAGTTTAGGTCCACATTGGCAGATAAAATGATGACTGAAGAATGTTAATGTATTTATGTAAGGCACCAGTTGGCTGAATTGTGTTCATTTTAAACAAAATATGCATTCTTTAAAAATGAATTAATTTAATGCAATTATGTATGATGAGTGGTCAGTAAATGCTTAATAATTAATTAATTTAAAGTAGTATTTCCAGGATAAGCAATTGGAAATACAGATAGATTTTTGTCCAAGTTCCATTCTCACCTCCAAGATCCCCACTGATATGGTTTGACATGGTTTTTCCCCACCCAACTTTTATCTTGAATTGTAATCCCATAATTTCCATGTCTAAGGGAGGTACCTCATGGGAGGTGATTGGATTATGGGGGTGGTTTCCCCCATGCTTGAGATGGTGAGTGAGTTCTCCTGAGATCAGATGGTTTTGTAAGTGTTTGCTCCTCCTTCATGCACTTGTCTCTCCTGCCACCATTTGAAGAACGTCCTTGCTTCCGCTTTGCCTTCCACCATGATTGTAAGTTTCCTAAGGCTTCCCCAGCCATGTGGAACTGTAAGTCAATTAAACCTCTTTCCTTTACATATTATGCAGTCTCAGCTAGTATCTTTTAGCAGTGCAAGAACGGACTAATACACCCACCATTCATTCATACCATACAATCAATTGTCTTTTCCACTGTTGGGAAGTAAGTATCCATGGTGTCTTTAACATTTCAGTAACTCCTACAAAAAAAAACACAAACAGCCTTTTTACCCCCTCTCTCTTCATTACTTTTCAAGGATGTTATATAATGAACAGCATTGGAAGATAAAGACAGTGTCTTCTTCCAGGGCAGAGGGCAGGATTATTTACTACTCAATTTAATAAAGATAAGTTGTCCATCTAGGAAACAGATGGGAAAGGTTTATTTGCAGTTCATTACAAAAGACTGGATTTTCTAATATTGAGGTATACCATCTGTGACACAAACCCACTGTGTGTGCTGAGTACACCTCAACATACGTGCATCATATGCTGAGGATCTGGGTTGTAGTAGAGATGCAGGAGTGGAAGAATTGATGTAATTATGAAGTTTGTCCATCTTGCTATTCAGAAATTTAAAAAAATCCTTTGTCTCTGATATGGAGTGCCTCACACGCTCTCTAAGCAAACCATTAAACTATAGGAGGATAACTTGTTAGCTTGAAAGTAGGGTAAATGTTAGAGCCTTCACCCTTCTTGACACCATCCTATTTACAAGTGAATCCCATGGTGATCATGAAATAAGCCTAGGAGAATGGCTATACTTGCAGTATCCGTCTGTGCATTTCTCTTATTTTAGCTTTCTGTATATCTAAGACTTGTATAGCATGAAATTCTGGTTATTTAAAAAAATTTTAATAATTTAAAAAGAAATGTAATAGGTGATGGTGGAAAATTCATACAGGTAAAGGAAATATTGCCAAATTTAAACTGAGGAATTGATATTGCACGATGTATATATTTCTTTTCATATTTTGAAGGCAAGGGTTCAAATAAGCTAGTATAATCTATATTCATGATTTTCATATTATTCTTTATATTTGCCAGGGTACTTTGATGATACTTATAGGTTAGTAGAAAAAGTGGAAATCTAAATATAGTACGGGAACAAATTAATCTCCGTTTAGATACACTGTGCCATTATTTCCACTGAAATGGAAGATAAGGGTGGAGGGTAAAGTATTTTTCCCCTATTAATATTCCGGAGATCCTCAAAATTTCTTCCAGTGGGATTCATACAGTAAGATATTGAAAGGATGCATAAAGATCTGACTATCTCCGCACTTCCTTTTTGATGGTGCAATGTATCATAAAAGTCACTGAAAGAGACAGTGGCAGAATCCATTCTCTTCCTGGATTTGGCAAAACAGAGGAAAGATAATCAAGTGATATTGACTTTTTTCCTCTGACAAGCAATAACATTTGCAAACATTAGTGGAATTTTGAGATCCCAGGATCTTCTCTGAGCAGTGGTGGCCACATAACATTCAGCTTATAAAGCAAAGTTTTGCCTCTGATACATATGCTCCCAAGGAGAGACTATCAGCCATTACATTGCATTACAGAGATTGACCTGTAGCCAGTTTCCTGAGATGGTCAGATATTACCAAAGTCTCAATGCCAACGTATTTTAGAACTTCTTAATTTATCCTTTTTTTGATTCTAAACCCCTTTTGGTAATACTTTTTTCATTTATGAGTCTTTCTACCCTCTTACATTCCTGTGTCTTCTTAAGGAAACTAAAATGTTTATCCTCTTACCAGGCTCAATTATACTGAAATTGTCACTGGAATGAGCCAGTGTGATTTTCTGTGGAATATTATGCTGAATATCAAAGAAAAAAATTAATAGCAAGATTGGAACTGAAATCCATGTATCTGTCTTTACAAGCCCATATGTTTAACAAATTAGAGTATTTCTTAATGTATTTGTAATATTTAAAAAGCTGTAGTTTGAAATACTTCATTTAATTATTATTTTTAAATTTATGTCATTAATATTTTGAAAAAAAAAACTGAAGTAGGCCTGAGGGTCAAGAAAGAGATAGTATAGAAAAATGCATCTGTTTTCAATGAGCACATGTCTAAAAGAAACAGACAAGAACTGATATAGGGATGCTAACACAAGCATTTCTATAGATCATTCAAATTCATGTTAAATATTTGACTGTTATCTGAAAGTAATTAGAGAGATTTTGAAAGTCTTTTCAAAATGTGAACAGATGTTTATTTTTAAAATATCATTTTTCATTGCCATGTCAAAAATGGATACTCCTTATGCAGATGGCATAGCAATTCATTTGAAAATTGACAGCATTTTAAACATAGGTATAAACAGTAGTTAATAAAGGATTACAGAAATATTTAAAATTAAAATAAAATAAACTTTATATATTTTTAAAATGAGAAGGTGAGTTCATGAGAAAGAAGGAGAGATTAAGAATGACTTCTAAATCTGAAATACTATCAAAGGAAACTAGTTTGATTAAGGTTTCATCACATGCAGGCAAACTTCGGGGGAAAATAGCAGTTTAATTTTGTTTATATTGACATTGTGGTATATAAGAGGTATGAAGTAGAGACATAAAATGAGAATTTTAAAATATGGGTATGAAATCAGTATATCAAAGAGATGCCTGCTCTTTCATGTTTATTGCAGCACTATTCACAATAGCCAATATATGGAATCAACCTAAATGTCCACTAAAGGATGAATGGATAAAGATATATTTCTAATTATTACTATAGAACAACTCCTTTTCTATCTTTTATCCAGCTGAATAGTTTCAATACATTTGCTATTTTAAATTATTTTTCTTATTAATATATACACATATTTAATATATTATGAAAGCTTTTCACATATGGCTATGTTTCTGTTCCAACCCAAACTTGCACAGCTAACACTAGTAAATTAAATCCAAAGAAATATAAATCAGAAGCCGTTTCCAAGATGGTCAATGTTATGTTTAAGAACTCTACAATGGAACCACAGGCTACAGAACTCAGGTTGAATTGGAAAACTAGCAACTAACTACAAGAAGAATGTCTAATTAAATAATATTACTTATTTGATTGACTCAGTTCTATGACTCATTCCTTAATTGTGAATTTCTGGCCAGAAGGCAATAGGACTTTGCTATAGCATCATGTAATCATAGAAAAAATTGATCTAGCTTAGCATTAATTTATTAATCCATCCTTAAGTATATTAAAAACAATTCAGTTTAACAGTTCAATAGGTGATTGACTTCATGGTATCAATGTGACCAGAATTTTAAATTTCTTTTTAAGTACTTCATTGTTAATGCACAGAAACAAACTGGTTTGTGTACAGTGATTGTGTGTCTTGTAATTTTAATTTATTAGTGCTAACAGCTTTTTGTGGTGTCTTCAGTGTTTTCTATATATAAAATCATGCCACTCTCAAACAAAAATAATTTTACTCCTTCATGTCCAATTTAGATGCATTTTACTTCTTTGTCTTGCCTAGTTGTTCTAGCTAGGTCTTGCAGTACTATTTCGAACAGAAATGGCACATCTGCATCCTTTGCCTTCTTCCTAACTTTAGAAGAAAAGATTTCTCTTTTTCAACATTGAGTGTGATGTTAGCTGTGGGCTTGTGATATATGGCCTTTATTATGTTGAGGTAAACTTCTTTTTTGCCTACTTTTATTTTAGGTTTGGGGTACATGTGCAAGTTGTTGCATGGGTAAATTGTGTGTCATTGAGATTTGGTGTATACATGATCCTGTCACCAAGGTAGTGAACGTAGTGCCTGATAGGTAGCCAGTACATTCCTTCTATATCTAGTTTATTCGGTTTTTAATCATAAAAGTGTGTCAATTTTTGTCAAATTGCTTTTCTACATCTATTGAAATGATCAAGTAATTTTTATCATTTATTTTGTTAATACAGCATATCACTCAATTTGTGTTTGTTGAACTATACTTGCATCCTAGGGATAAATTCCACTTAGTCATGGTATATGATCCTTTTAATGTGTTGTTGAATTTAGGTTGTTAGTATTTTGAGAAAGATGTTTGCATTCATATTTATCATGGATACTGACTTATAGGTTTCTTCTCTTGTAGTCTTTGTGTGGCTTTCATACCACGGTAATGATGACCTCATAAGATGAATTTGGAATTGTTATTACCTCTTCAATTAGAATTGGTGTTAATGCTTCTGTTAAGTGTTTGGTAGAATTTCCAGTGAAGCCATTTGTTCCTGGTTTTTCTTTGTTGAGAGGTTTGGATTACTAATTCAGTCTCTTTACATATTATTCATTTGTTCAGAATCAAGTTTACAATAGCTTCATAAAAGTATAAAGTACTTAGGAATAAGATTAACCAAGAAAGTGAAATACTAATATACTGAAAACTGCAAAACATTGATGAAAAAAATTAAAGTCACAAATAAATAGAAAAACATTCCGTGTCCATGAATTGGAAGATTTAAACTTGTATAAATATCCATATTACACAAAATTGTCTACTAATTAAATGTTATTCCTATCAAAATCTCCAATGACATTTTTAAGGAAATAGAAAAGCTACAATTATAAAAGTACAGTATTATAATAAAGACAGACATATAGACTAATGAAACAGATTAAAAGGTTCAAAAATATTCTGTGCATATATATACAACTGTCCTCTGACAAGGGGGCAAACAATACCCAATGGGGAAGAAATAGTCCCTTCAACAGAAGACGTTGGAAAAATTGGATATCCATATGCAGAAAAAAATATTGAAAATTTATCTTACACCATACGAAAAAATCAACTCAAACAAAAGATTTAAACATAAGACTCGAAACTCTACAATTTCTAGAAGATAACAGAGGAAAAGCTTCTTGACACTGGTTTGAGCAATGATATCTTGGCTGTGACAGCAGAAGTACAGATTATAAAAACAAAATTAGACAAGTGGGACTACATCAAACTGAAAAGCTTCTACAGAACAACAACAACAACAACAACAAAAAACCAGAATGAAAAGGCAACCTACGGAATGGAAGAAAACATTTGCAAAACATGTATATGAAAAGGGGTTAATTTTCAAAGTAAGTAGGGAGTTTCTACCAGTTAAGAGCAAAAAAAAAGCCAAATAAAAAATAGTAAAAAGACTTGAATAGATATTTCTCCAAAAAAGACATTAATATGGCCAACAGGTATATGAAAATATGCTCAATATCACTAATCAGGGAAATACAAATCAAAACCACAGTGAGATATCACTTCACACCTATTACTATGGCTATTTCTAAACAATAAATAAATAAATAAAACAAATAAATAAATAATATATGTTGAGGATATGGAGAAACTGGAAGCTTTGCACACTGTTGGTGGAAATGTAAATAGTCCAGCCACTATAGAAAAGAATATGGAGGTTCCAAAACAAATTAAGAATAGAACTACCATATGATTCAGCAGTCCTAATTTCCAGTATACATCAAAAAAAGTTTAAATCAAGACCTCAAAGAGATATTTACAGTCCCATGTTCATCACAACATTATTCACATTAATCAAGCTATGGAAACAGCCTAAATTTTTTTTTTACATTTTTCTATTTTATTTGTTTATTTTTTTGAGACAGAATCTAGCTCTGTCATCCAGGCTGGAGTGCGGTGGCGCTATCTCTGCTCACTGTAAGCTCCGCCTCCTGGGTTCACGCCATTCTCCTGCCTCAGCCTCCCGAGTAGCTGGGACTACAGGCGCCCGCCACCATGCCCGGCTAATTTTTTGTATTTTTAGTAGAGACGGGGTTTCACCGTGTTAGCCAGGATGGTCTCGATCTCCTGACCTCGTGATCCACCCTCCTCGGCCTCCCAAAGTGCTGGGATTACAGGCGTGAGCCACCGTGCCTGGTGGAAACAGCCTAAATTTTTTACTCATCTATAGATGAATGGATAAATAAAATATGGTATGTACATATAATGAAATACTATTTACTATTTTAGTAGGAAAAAAACTTCTCCATATTTAACAACATAGATGAACCTGGGGAAAATTATGCTAAGTGAAATAAACCAGGCCCAGAAGGATAAATATTACATTATTCCACTTATGTGAGATATCTTAAATAGTCTAGTAGAATCAGAGAGTAGAATGTTGTTGCAGAGATTTGTTTAGTGGTCATAAAGTTTCAGTTATGCTAGATTAATACATTTTAGATATCCATAGTACAATACAATACCTGTAACTAACAATATCATATTTATCATTTAAAAATCTTGAGTGTAAATTTCATAATAAGTCTTCTTGCCAAAAAACAAAAACAGGGGCAAAAACAAGAAATGAAAGGGCAAGAGGAAACTGTTGGGGGTCCTGGGTATATTTATTCCCTTGATTGTATAGTTGGTCTTATGGGTGTATGTCTGTGTCCAAACTCATCAAATTGTATGCATTATATATATGCAGTACATTTTTTTATATACCAAATGTACCTCAGTAAAGTTGTTGAAGATAAAAAAGATATTATTTCTTGGCAAAGTTTTGGTCATATGCAGCAAAATATAAATTTAAATTACTACTCTTTTATATCTGATTCACGTACTGGTAAAGATTCCCAGGATAAATAATTTAAAGACAATTATCATTAAAATTGGTAGTTAAATAATTTAAACATTTGGTAGTCATTTTAATAAATATCTTCATAAAATGTTATCTTATACTAGGTGAAATGATAAATATACAAATAATTTCATATTTTAGGAGGTATTTAGGTTCATGTCACACTGCATACTTCCAAAATAGAAATGTACTGTAAAGGGTTTAAAACGCAAAATTTTTACTTTCATATATATCATACATAAACTGGTTGTCATCAAATTTCTATTTTGAAGACATGTTTGATATCTTATCCAACATTTATTTTATATCATATATAAGTTTGATCAAATAATATATAAGAAAAATAAGCAAAACAAACAATATGGGATGCTTTATTGGAAATATCAACTAAATATTATAATAAATAATAAAAATTTAGGCTAAAATACATTTAACAGACCATTACAGAAGCATAATTCAAATGTGCAAATAATTAGTTGAAAATAACTTCAGTAACTGTATCTGTGATAAATCATATCCATAGAAAATATTAGAGATAGAGAAGAAAGATAATGGAGCAAACTGAAATTAAAGCAACTATGAAAACAGTAATTTTATTCTAAATGATATTTCATTTTAGTCATTTTGAAACAGTCGAAACAATTTCAAGCATAAGAAAATTTAGATATAAATGAACTCAGAGAAGTCACTTAATGTGGTTATGGCTGTAAAATAATGATTTTTTAGACTAATTACCCTAACATTTGGCATTAAAATTATTTTACTAATATTGAAACTGTATTTTAAACGTCAATAAGACATTCTGAAGGATATTTTGGATAGATGATTAAAAAATCTAGTTTTTTAATATAATGTACAGTCACTCCTGGATGCTTGAAGACAATAAGAAAGCCATAGAATTCTGCTTTATTACAAAACTGAATCTGAAATTAATTTTGAAAGAATTGAATTAATTATACAAAAATATTTTTAAAATGTTAATAGGAATTTTTACTTATGAATAGAGAAATACTGGGACAATTTAAAACACTCTGTTGATGTTATATTCAGTGCTCTCTCCAAATAGTTTAGCTCTCACTACTTGCTTGTGCCTTTACACGTCAGCATCTCTTGGCCTGTAGGCATTTTCCAAAGCCTCAAGTTCTCTGCCTACTTGCACTGCAAACTAATACTACTGTTGGAAAATGCTTCCATATATTTACATTTTAATTGTGTTCCTGTAATGGTCTATTAGATCTATTTTAGCAAAAAACTTTTATTTTTTATTATAATAAGTAATTATTTGACATCTCTGAGACCATCTTCTCTAGTGACTGGTAATAGTTTATATATATATATATATATATATATATATATGTGTATATATATATATATATATATATGCCAGCTCTTTTCAGAAAGAATAATTTAAAGGCATGTGCTTTCCACCATTTTTGAGAACTTACCTTTTAATTTAAATTCCAGACATTTATAATAGTAACTGGATAGATAGTGCATCCATTATTAACTTTAATTTCTCTCCTTACTAACTTCTCCATGCTCATATTGATGTTTTCTGCCAAATAAATGATTTTCATTTATTTTCTTCTCTCTGGATCTTGTTCTGGGAGAAGCCAAATCAAGATGCAAATAATAAAAGTATATCTGTGCTCAGTCACATAATTTCAATAATAAGGAGTCTATATTAAACATCAATAGACATGTCCAATTATATGTTCCTTAGGCAGCTGAAACTCAAAAGGTGTAATATGTCAGTCATTACTCCAAATCCATACACTTGCCCTTTTTTTCTCTTCTGTGGAAAATAAAGTTTTCCTAATAAAAACCTTAGATTTTATTCTTGATTTGGTTCTTTTCCTTACTCCCATATAGAATTCATTGAAAAGCATGTACTTTTATTTTTAAAAGACTCTTGTTATCTGTGCAATTTCCAACCCACCATGTCTCTCTGAGCATACTACCGTAATCTCTCATTAGGAATACCACCAGATTCTCCCAACTGACCTATGTGACTCACTCTTTTCTCTTCCAGTCTATTTTGCCTGAATTAATTTTTAATCAGGTGATGCTTGATTTAATAATAAAGTTAAATTTCAGCCTCTTATCTTGCCCCTGTAACACCAATTCCTGACTTCACATTCAAATTATTCTTTGTTATACATCTCTTCAATGCCATTGTTTGTGGGGGTTTTTTAGAGTTATTCATTTTTAACCTCAGTTTTTTTTTTTAACTTGTATTTTAAGTTCAGGGGTACAAGTGCAGTTTTGTTACGTAGGTAAATTTGTGTCATGATGTACAGGCCATTTCATCACCCAGGTATCAAGCCTGGTACCCATTAATTATTTTTCCCAATCCTCTCCTTTCTGCCACCATCTACTCTCTGAAAGACCCCAATGTGTGTTGTTTCCCTCTATGTGTCCATGTGTTCCCATCATTTAACTCCCACTTATAAGTAAGAATAATATGTGGTATTTAGTTTTCTGCTCCTGTATTAGTTTGCTAAGGATAATGGCCTCCAGCTTTATCCATTGTTTTTTATTGCTCTGTTTATACTGACAGATAAAATTGCATATATTTATCAAGTACAATGTGATGCTTTGAAATGTAACTTTTGGAACAACTAAATGTAGCAAATAACCTATGCATTGCCTAACATACGTGTCATTTTGTTGTGAGAATACATAGCTATCTTAACATTTTTAAAGAATACTATATGTTTTTAACTATAGTTACCATGTTGTAAAATAGATCTCTTGAACTTATTCTTCCTATCTAACTGAAATATTGTATCATTTGACCAACATCTTGCCACTTCACTCCCAACCACCCTAGTCCTTGGCAAACACCATACTACTGTCCACTTCTATGAGTTCAAGTTTTTTAGATCTAACATATAACTGAGATCATGCAGTATGTGTCTTTCGGTGCCTGGCTTATTTCAATTAAAATAATGTCCTCCAGGTTATTTATGTTGTTGAAAGACAGAATTACCTTTTTGTTTTTTAAGACAGGGTCTCCCATAGCCCATGCTGGAGTGCAGTGGCACCATCTCGGCTCACTGCAGCCTCAGCCTCCTGGGCTCAAGTGATCTGCTCACCTCAGCTCCCCAGGTAGCAGGACTACAGGTGTGTGCCCCCATGCCTGACTAATTTTTGTATTTTTTGTAGAGAAAGGGTTTTGTCATGTTCCCCAGACTGGTGATCTGAGCTCAAGTGATCCACCTACCCTGGCCTCCCAAAGGCTGGGATTATAGGTGTGAGCCACTATATTTGGCCCACTTTCTTGTTAATAGCTGAATAGTACTCCATTGTGTGTATATACCTCTTTTTCCTTATCTATTTATCTGTTGATGTATACTGGTTGATTCCAAATCTTGTCTATTGTGAATAGTGCTGCAATAACATCGGAGTGCAGAGATCTCTTCAATGTGCTGATTTTATTTCTTTTAGATACATATACAGTAGTGGAATTTTTGGATCTTATGATATTTCTATTTTTCACTTCTTGAGGAACCTCCATAATATTTTCTAAAGGAGAATACTAATATATATTTATACCAACAGTATCTGAGGTTTTTGTTTTCTCCCCATCCTTCCCAATAGTTGATATCATTTGTCTTTTGACAATAGCCATTCCAGCCGGTTTAGGTGATATTTGATTTTAATTTTCATTTCCCTGATGACATATGACATTGTGCATTTTTCCATGTATCTGTTCACCATTTGTATGTCTTCTTTTGAGAAATGTCTATTCAGATCTTTGTCCACTTTTAAATTATGTTATTTGTTTTCGTGCTATTCACTTGCTTGGATTGCTTTTATATTTTGGAAATTAATTCCATATCAAATACATAGTTTGCAAATATTTTTCCCATTCTGTAGATTGTTTTCTAGGTATTAAGTTTTACTTTATATATCCTGGCTATTAAACCCATTTTAGATATTTTGTTTGCAAATACAGTCTTCTCTTTTGTAGTTTGTCTCTTTACTTGGTTGAATGTTTTCTTTGCTGTGAAAACAACTTGTTTGTTTGATATCATTCTATTTGTCTATTTTTGCATTTATTGCTTGTACCTTTTGTGGTCATATACAAAAAAAAATTTCCTAAACCAAAGTTACAGAGATTTACACCTTTGTTTTCTTCTAGTAGCTTTTTAGTTTCAGATTTACCTTTAAGTCTTTAATTCATTTTTAGTTGATTTTCATATATGCTGTGAGATAAGGGTCTAGTTTTATTCTTCCATATATGGCTATCCAACTGTCCCATGTGTTGAAGGGACTGTTCTTTCCCATTTTGGGCTATGGAAATTTGCCAAAAATCAGTTGACTGCAAGTGCATGGATTTATTTCTGGGATCTCAACTCTATTTTATTAGTCTAAGTGTCTGTTTTTATGCCAGTGCCATGATGTTTTAGTTACTATAGTTTTGTCATATTTTTTAAAGTCAGGCCAGAAGTTTGATGATTCCAGCTTTGTTCTTTATGTTCAAAATTGCTTTGTCTATTGAAGATCTTTTGTGGTATCATACATGTTACAGATTTTTCTATTTCTGTGAAGAACATTATTGATATTTTCATAGTAATTGCATTGTCATTCATATATTGATAGTAAATCAATTGCATCAGTAGATTGCTTTGGTGTACATATTTTAATAATATTAATTTTTCCAATCCATAAACACAAGATATTTGTATATTTATTTTTGTCTTTTTCAATTTCTTTCATCACTGTTTTATAGTTTTCAGTATTAGGGCTTTCATTTGTTTAGTAATCTTATTTCTGCATAGTTTATTTTTATTTTAGGCAATTGAAATTGTTTTCCTTGATTTCATTTAGATAGTTTGCTGTTAGTGTATATAGAAGCACTAGTACTTTTTGTATGTCAATTTTGTATCTTGAAACTTTACTGCATTTTTTATTAGTTCTAAGAGTTTTTTGCTGGAATCTTTAGTGTTTTCTATATATAAGTTCACATCATCTGCAAACAAAAATGATTTTAGCTTTTTCTTTCCTATTTTGTTGCCTTTTATTTCTTTCTTTTGCGTAATTGCTCTGGCTATGACTTCTAGTACAATGTTGAATAAAAGTGTCAGGAGTGTGCATTCTTGTCTTGTTCCAGATTTTTGTTGTTCCAAAAAAGCTTTCAGTATTTCCCTGTGAAATGGGAATGGTGTTGATAATGGTGAATGGTCTTTTAATGAACTGTTTGATTTGGTTTAATAATATTTTGTTGAGAATTTTTGCATCTATTTTCATATGGAATATTATCCTGTAGTTTTCTTTTTTTACAGTTTTCTTATATGGCCTTTGTATCAGGCCAATCCCGGTCTTTAAAATAAGTTTGGAAGTAGTTCTTCTTTCTCAGTTTTTTTTAAGAGTTTTAGAATAAATGGTATTACTTTTTCTATGATTGTTTAATAAAATGTATCAGAGATGTCATTAGCTCTTGGGCTTTTCTTTGATAAAATATTTTTAGTGCAGATTTAATCCTATTTCTTGTTAATGTCCTATTTTGGCTTTCTATTTCTTCATAATTCAGTGTTTACAGGTTGTTTGTGTCAAGGAATATATCAATGTATTCTAAGTTTACAATTTTGTTGTTATATAATTTTTCATAGTAGCCTCTTCTGATTCTTTGTATTTCTGTAGTGTCGGTTGTAATGTCTGCTTTTTCTGGTTGTTTTGTAGATTCTTTGTTCTCTTTTCCTCTCTTGCTGTTTCATATATGGCTAAGTGATTTTCTTTAATGGAATGTTTTGATTCCCTTGTCTTTTTGTACCTCTGGTATTGGTTTTTGTTTTGTGGATACCATTAGGCTGAAAAGGAAATCTTATAATTACAGCAGGTTGTCTTAAACCTGCTGTTTAAGATATCTGATAACAACTTAACTTTGATTAGAAAATTTAAAAATCACTTGTGCAGTAATACTCCACTATCCCCACACATATTTTGAGGGTCTAATATCATAATTTACATCTTTTTTGTATTTTTCTTAATAAATTATAGTGGTTATGATTTTAATAGCTTTGTCCTTTAACATTTATACAAAAAAGTATAAGTAATTTACACACCACCCTTAAAGTATTATTCTATGCACTTGCTTTTACCAGTGTGTTTTACACTTTCCTTTTTTTCATGTTATTAGCATTTTTTAAATTTCAGCTTAAAAACCTCCCTTTAGCGTTTCTTGCAAGACAGACATCATAGTGATGAATTCCCTCAGTTTTTCTTTGTCTGGGAATGTCTTTATTTCTCCTTCAGGCTCAAGAATATCATTGATGTGTAAAATATTTTTGATTGACAGTTTTTAATTTTTAGTTTTTTGTATTTTTCTCAGCACAATGTTTATATTATTCTACTCTTTCCTGGCTTCAAAAGTTCCTATAGAGCAGTCCGCTGCTAGCTATATTGAAACTCTTTTTTATGTTATTTTCTTATATGCTGTTGCAGCTTTCAGTATCCTCTTTGTCTCTAATTTTTGACATCTTGATTCTAATATATTTTAGGGTAGTCTTTTGTGAATTGAATCTGAATGTAGACCTTTGACTACATTTTACCTGGATGAGTACTTCTTTCATTAGGCTCGGAAAGTTTATTGCTACTATTTTTTTTAGAAAAGCATTTTACTCCTTTATTTTTCTCCTCTCCTTATTAACTCCTATTACTCATACATTTGCTCTTTTTAAGCTTTCCTATAAATCTCATAAGCATTCTTCAGTTTTTTTATTCTTTTCTATTTTTTCTCCTTTGATATATTGTCAAGTAATCTGTCTTTGAGTGAACAGATTCTTTCTTCTGCTAAATCAATTCTGCTGTTTATGCTCTCTATTGCATTTTAAAATATTATTTATTGTATTTTACAGCTCCAAAATTTGGTTTAATTTTTTGTCTCAATCTCCATATTAAATTGCTCATTTTGATCACTTATTGTATTCTGATGTTGTTGAATTGATCCTCTTTATTTTCTTGGAGGTGGCTGAGCTTCCTCAAAAAAAGTTACTTTGAATTTTCTCTCAGGTAGTTCATAAATATTTATTTCTTTAGAGTTGGTTACTGATACTTTATTTTACCCCCCTTTTGTTGATATCCTGTTTTCCTGGTTGTTCTTGATCCTTGTAGTCATGTGCTGATGTCTGCACATTCAAATAAGTAGCTTTTTACTCTATCTTCTATATAGACTGTCTTTATCTGAGAAAGCTTATCAATTGTCAGCCTGTCCAGAGATTATGGACAAGCCATTTGGTGTGGTCTCAAAGCCTAAGGTCTCTGTGGTTATTATGGCTCTTGAGCAGACCAAAAGCCTGGGGAAACTGTGGCCAGGGTGGCACTGGAGCACACCAGGAGTCCAGGGATTTACACAGCTTTTACAGCACTGAGTAGTGCCTGGATCCTGGGGCCACTGAAGCCTGCTTGTCACTGTTGTCTGTCAGGAGTTTGGGGCCACTACAGTTGGCCCAGTGGTGGTGCAGGCTGGAGACAGAGTCTGCCACGCAAGCCTAAAGCCTGGGGCTTTGTAATCCCACCTGGTTCTGGGATGGGCTTAGATGCTTAGTCTACAGTTATATTCCTAGAATAGGGAGCTCTAGGTGTTTTCCTGGTGCTGGGTTTTATTGTGCAGGACTCCCTGTTGAGGTCCAAGGCCAAGTCCTGTGCTCAATTCCTCATTTCTCCCTGGAGCAAATGTTATCTCTCTGTTTATTGTGCTGAATGTGCTTGGGGAATGGGTGACTCAATACTGTAAAACTGTCCTTCCAACCTTCTTCAAAACATCTTTTTTTTTTAATTGTGCTACAAAAAGGTCACTTTTCAACTTATTTCTTTAACTCTTGTAAAGATATTTTTGCACATGGGTAGTTGTTCAAACTGGTATTTGTGTGGCAGATTATTATCACCGGACAGACCTATTCTGTTATCTTACTCTATCTCTCTCAACAAAATTGTTTTGAATGCCTACAATGTGTTAAAATTTACTGTAGATACTAAGAAAAAATACATTGATAAATAATACAAGTAAAATTTATGCTTTCCTTGGTCTCACACAAATGCATACAAAAAACTAAGTGATATCAGGCACTGTGATGAAAAAAATGAATTAGAGTAAGGTGAATAAATATCATGAAGAGATAAAGTGATAAGGCAAATGGCTCTAGTGAGATGGATTTCTAAATAGATATCTGCATGAACTGAGGGGATAAACCATACAATTATTTAGGAGAAGCAGTTTCCAAGACATGAGAATAGCCAGAATAAATCTGCCCTTAGGAAAAGCAGGGATCCCACTATCTTGACATTTTTGGTCTCTATTATATAATCCTCCTCTGAGCTCTTAAAAAATATACTTTCCCAATCATGTAAACTGATACACTTTTTATAACAGTCTGTTTGGTTGACTATTTTTTTCAACTGTTATGCAGTCACTTAGACAGCAGAGTCCTTGCCTAAATTTTTCCTGTTCTTGGTACACAGTGTCTATGTAAAAAAGCTAACAATATATTTTGTCAAAAATGAAAATAAAAGCATACATTCATCTATCAACACACACAACATGCGTAAATATATTCATTTAATGACATGGATACCTTATGTGGCCTGTGTCTTTTGGCAATTTCATTGGTGTGTGAACATCACAGAGTGTACTTACACAAACGTAGGTGGTGCAGCCTACTATACACCTAGGATAAATTGTGTAGTCTATTGCTCTTAGGCTACAAAACTGTACAGCATGTTACTGTACTCGATACTGTATGCAATTGTAACAAAATATTAAGGATTTATGTATCAAAACATATTTAAATATAGAAAAGGAACATTGAAATTATGATATAAAAGACAAAAGTTTTTATACTTACATAATGCATTTGCCATAAATGGAGCTTGCAGGACTGGAGGTTGTTCTGGGTAAGTCAGGGAGTTAATGGTGAATGACTGTGAAGGCCTAGGACATTACTATACAGTACTGTAGACTTTCTAAACACTGTACACCTGTGCTACACTAAGTTTATAAAGTGATCTCTTTACTTCAATTAGTTCACAGTAGCCTACTGCAATTTATTTTACCTTATATACTTTTAATTTAAAAAAATGACTATTTTATAATAACACTTAACTAAAAACACAAACACATTGTGCAGCTGTACAAATCTTCTTTATTTGTATTCAATAAGCATTTTTCTATGTAAACTTTTTTTTTACTTTTGTTTTGTTTTGAGATGGAGTCTCACTCTGTCGCCCAGGCTGGAGTGCAGTGGCGCAATCTCAGCTCACTGCAACCTCCGCCTCCCGTGTTTAAGTAATTATCTGCCTCAGCCTCCTGAGTAGCTGGGATTACAGGCATGTGCCACAATGCCCAGCTAAATTTTTTTGCATTTTTAGTAGAGACGGGGTTTCAACATCTTGGCCAGGCTGATCTTGAACTCCTGACCTCATGATCCACCCACCTTGGCCTCCCAAAGTGCTGGGATTACAGGCGTCAGCCACCGTGCCTGGACCTTTTTTTACTTTTTAAACGTTTTTGTTAAAAACTAAGACACACACACGCACACACACACATTAGACTAGGCCTACACAGGATCAGGATCATCAACATCACTGTCTTCCACCTTCACATCTTGTCCCACTTGAAGTTCTTTAAGAACAATCATATGTATGGAGCTGTCATCTCCTATGATAAGAATATATTATCCTGAAATACTTCTTGAAGAACTTGCCTGAAGCTATTTTACGGTTAACTTTTTTAAGAAAAGCAGAAGGATTACAATCTAAAAAAATACAACCTAAAAATATAGTATAGTAAATGAATAATTAACATTGTTGTTTATTTCATTATCAAGTATTATACATTGTACACGATTATATGTGATATACTTTTATACTACAGGCAGTGCAGTGTCTTTGCCTACATGAGCATCACCACAAATTCATGAATAAAGAGTTGCACCACCACATTATGACAGCTCTAACATCATTAGTGAAAGAAACTTTTTAGCTCCATTATAATCCTATGGTACCACCATTGTATATGTTGTCCATCATTGACTGAAGCATTGTTACGCAGTATAAGACTACATATATATATATATATAATACACATACATATATACATTTATATACACACACACACACACACACCCCTATGGATATGTATTATGTTTTACACACACACATACAACGTATTGGTTATGTTTCTCTCCCTGAAAAAAATCCTGAATGACATAGACTTTGATATTGAGAGTTGTTATAAATTATGTTTTCTGAATTGCTTCCAGGGTTTCTAGAATTGATTCTTTAATGTGATTAGATTTAAATTCATTAGTAACTGTTTCCAGTGGTACAGATGGACTGTTTCCACTGGTAAAAATGGCACTGATGGCAGTATTGTGCTGTGGCAGTAGAGATAAGCAAAATATTATCATTAAATGCTCCTAATCAAAAGGTAAGTTTTGGGTGACCATACACTTGACACCTTACAACACATTTGTCAAAATAATAGTTATAATAAGATTGGATAATTGCTAATAATTATCCTGGGAAATGTGGAGAAAAATTAAAGAATGTATTTAAATTTCTAGTTCCAGCTGAACTTACACAACCTGAGAATTTCCGTATCTGGCCTGAAATAAACCTTTATCTCCTATAGCCAGAGCAGAGGTTTCTGATAACTCAATCCAAATCTTACAAATGCTGTAATTAGCAAATCTTACAAATGGGTAAATTATGATCCAAACTGAATTCCCATCCATAAAAGGTATACTCTTTTAAAGTTACAGCATTGATTGAGTAGGAAGGGTATCCCGGAAATTGGAATGGGGGACCTGGGAAGGATCCTGATCAATCTAGGAATATTGAACCCCTAAATTCTACTGAGTTCTTGTCAGTAGATGCAGCGCTTCTATCCCTTTCTGAATTTGTTAACCCTCAATTGCCTGAAGAAGCTGTAATGACCTCTCCTAAGGTAGTTACCTCAAGTATCAGGTAACCAAATGATGAAATTTAAAGAATGACCCATAAGAGAATGCACACAATCCAAAAGAACTGAATGATTTTTTCTTCTTCATACTAACAGCAATGAATATTAACAGAATTAAACATTTGGGATAGTGGTTGAATGAATACAGCATTGGATCAGACCAAGTTTATTCATGTGAGCCAAATGGAGATTCTAGATTCAATGATATAGCTAATTTGGTTAGAAATGACTATAGCAGTTTATTTGGCTGGTTATCTTGGACACAGAAAGACATTACCCTATACTATATTTAATTGTAATGCCAGGAGTGCCTTGGTGTACTGTAGAGGAATGTGTAGTGTCACAGGTCTTCCAAGAGGCTAATAGGTGTGCATGTCTGATACCTAAACCCTGAAGGCTGGGCAGTGAGTCAAAACCATGGCGCCGAACGAAGGAGCAGGTGTCCCTGAGAACCCACACATACTAGAGAGTATCGGAGAACCTACCAAAAAAAAAAAAGTATCATTGCTCAAGCCATAAAATTAGCTTAAAAGCAGGTTAGAGATGGGAGGTGGTGCAGATATCTAGACCGCTACTGCCGCCATCCAGGAGTGCCTTGTATATAAGTCCTAATAAACTCATCTACCCATCAAATTGGACTTGCCTGAGTCATTCTTTGGTTTCATGGTTTCTTCTCAGTTTTAGGGGGATATTACAGTCTCAAGTTTTTTTTCATAACACAAGGTATTAAAAATTTAAGGGAGATTGGAATGTTAGAGTGAATTTATCGTGTAAGGCCTGCTCACCCAACCTAGGAGGATCCAAAGGATACATTCTTTGCCACAATTGTGGGAAATATATTTATTAAGGATTCCCAGAGTCCTTGAAGAGCTCTGGGGTTTCTGTTCTTTGCAGGCCAGAAATTATAACAGAAACTGTTGTCACTGAACTGGGATATTTAAATACAGCAATGATAATTTGATCCTGGGATAATAGGAGCTAACTTAATTACTGAAGATAACATTGAAGTAATTACCGTAATGAATACACGGAGTGATTACCATAATGAACACACTTACAGAGACCTACAGTATTAAGTTGTTTATTATGGTGTCCATAGAAGAGAAATAGGTGAGAAATTGATTAAATTTTTTCTTGATCTGTATAAGTGGAAGAACTCTAGTTTAAGTTAACAATCGTGTTCCTTGATCATTAGAACATAGAGCCACAACCTCAGATTTAATTTTAAGACTTGAGCAATAAAGTCATAAAGTCTATAAGATTATAAGACTTATAGACTCAGAACCCCTTGAGTGAAAAAACTAGGTCCCCTAGAAGAAAGACCACACAAGGCTCAAAATCTGTACTTGTTATCTTTTCCCAGTTTTCTCAAAAAAGACTTAGGATTTACCACGGTCACTCTGCATTGAGGAAAAACAAATAGTTAGATTTGGGGAAGGTTATCAGACACTGGCTCTGAACTGACATGAATTTCAGGAGACCCAAAGTGTCACTGTTGTCCATCAGTCAGAGTTGAGGTTTATGGGGCTCAGGTGATCAGAAGAGTCTTAGTTCAAGTCCATCTCACGATAGATCCAATGGCTTTCTAAGCCCATCTTGTGGTTATTTCCCCAGTTCTGGAGTGCATAATTGGAATAGACATATGCAACAACTGGCAGAGTCCCCAGACTGGTTCTCTGATTTGCAGAATGAGAGCCGTTGTGGTTGAAAGTTCAAATTGGGACGCTAGAACTGCTTCCACTTACACAAACATAGTAAGCTAAAAGTGGTAACACATTTCTAGAAGAATTGTAGACATTAGTACCATCTCATGGAAATGAAAGCTACAAAGGTGGTATTACCATTGTCTCCGCATTCAGTCACCTATTTGGTCTGTGCACAACACAGAGGGATCTTAAAAAATAATAATGGATTATCTTAAATTTAACCAGGTAGTGACTCCAGTTGCTGCTGGTGTTCAAATGAGTTTTCACTTCTTGAACAAATTAACATACCTCCTGGTACCTGGTATGTGGCTATTCACCTAGCGAGTGTCTATTAGTAAAAGTCAACAAAAGCAGTTTTATTTCAGCCAATAAGACAGCAGTATACCTTCCCTCTCCTACTTAAGTGTTATGTAGACCTATGCTATAATTTAGTGTGCAGGGATCTATTATGTTGGTGCAAAAGTACTTACGGTTTTTGCTATTATGAGTAACTTACTCTTTTGCATCAACTTAATACTTTGCCTCTTCTGTTCACAAGACATTACTCTAGTTCATTTCATTGATGACATTATGCTGTTAGGACCTAGTGAGCAAGAAATAACAACCACCTTAGACTTATTAGTAAGACAATTGTGTGTCAGAATACAGGAAATAAATCTCAGAAAGATGCAGGAGGCTTCTACCTTAGTGAAATTTCTAGGGATACAGCGTTTTGTGGCAGATGGAAAGATACCATCTATGTGAAGGATAAGTTGTTAAATCTGGCCTCTTCTTTTTTTTTCATTTTTATTAATTTTATTTTTCCTTCGAATCTTGGTAAAACTTCTGAAATATAAATATTTTCTATTTCACCTGAATCACAGGGTTCACAGCAATATCTTTATGCCTGATCCATATAACTTTCTCTCAATTTCTTCACACCTGGATGGTATGAATGTCTCTACCCATTTCTGATATGAAATAACAGTATCAAGTGTTTTATTTTTTTATTTTTATTTTTATTTTTTTAATTATACTTTAGAATCTGGCCTCTTCTACAATCAAAATAGAGGCACAGATCTCAGTGTGTCTTTGATTTTTGAAGGCAACATGTTTCTCATTTTGGTGTGCTATTCTGCCCCATTTACCAAGTGACACAAAAAGATTTTTGTTGGCCCCACAATAAAACAAAGTTTTGCATAAAGTTCAGGGTGCAGTGCAAGCTACTCTGCCTTTTGGGTCATATTAGCCAATCTATCCAATGGTTCTTGATGTGTCAGTGGCAGATAGAGATGGTGTTCTAAGCCTTTTACAGGCTAATATAGCAGAAGCCCCTAGGATTTTAAAGGAAATTGCTGCCATCTTCTGCAGACAAGAACTTTTGTTTTGAGAAGCAGATTTGGACTTGCCACAGGGCCTTAGTAGATAATGAATGTTTAATCACTGGTCATGAACTTACCATACAACCTAATCTGGTTATCATGAAGTGAAAGTTTCCTCAACCCTCAGTCCATTGAATCAGACATGTGCATCAGCACTCCATAATCAAAAAGAAGTGGTATATATGGAATTATTCTTGAGCAGGTCCTTAAGGCAAAAGCCATTTACATGAAAAATTGGTATAAATGTTCATGGTTTCCACTTCTGTTACATTACCTTTTCAGTTCCAATTCACACCAACAGTATTATGCATATTCCCTATAATCAGCTGACTCAGGAAGAAAAAATTGGGGCCTTGTTTACAGTTGATTCTCCATGACATGCATAAACTACGTGAATGTAAACTGCTACAGTACTGCAATCACACTCTGAGATAACTCTGAAGGACAGTGGTGAAAGGAAATCCTTTCAATGGACAAAATTTTGAGCAGTGCACTTGGTTGTTTATTTTTCTTGGAATGAGAAATAATCAAATGGACAATTGTATACAGATTCATGAACTGTTGCCATTGATTTGTCTGACTTGTCAGGGACTTGGAAGTAACATGATTGGAATATTGGAGACAAGGATGTCTGGAAAAGAGAAATGTATATAGATCACTTCAAATGGGCAAAATGTGAAAATAATATGTGTGTTCTATGTAAATGATCACCAAAGGGTTTCCTGAGCAAGGAGGATTCCAGCAATAAAGTGAGTTATAATGACCCTCTCTCTGGATGCCAGTCAGTCTCTTTCCCCAGATATGTCTCGCATTGCTCAATGGGTTCATGAACAACGTGGTCATTGTTGAAAGGATGGAGGTAAGGCATGGGCTAAGAAACATGGGCTTCTATGACATGACTGAGGACATGATCTGCCAACAGCAGAAATTAAAACTGATTCTCCGATATGGCACCATTCTCCAGAGTGATTAGATTATCTTGGTGGCAGTTTGATTGCATTGAATGGCTTCCATCCTGGAAGTGGCAGCATTTTGTTCTTACTAGAATAGACACTCACTCTGGATATGGATTTACCTTCCTTATATGCAATTAGCAAAAACTTCCATGCATGTACTTACAGAATGACTTATTCACTACCATTGTGTTCTGTACAGCTGTACAGCTGTACAGTTCTAGCTTGCTTCTTTGAAGTAACTCACTGCATGGCAAAGAAAATATGGCTATGAGCCCACGCTCATGGATTTCAATGGTTTTACCACTTCACTTATCTTCCTGAAGCAGTTGGCTTGGAAGAACAATGGAATGATTTTTGAAGACTCACCACAGCACCAGCTCGGTGACAATACCTTGTAGATATGGGACAATATTCAGCAAAGTTTCTATGTGCTTTAAATCAGCATGTCGTGTATGGTAACGTTTACCCTGTAATCAGAATTCATGAGTTCAGAAATCAAGGGATGGGTTTGGAAGTGGCTCCACTCACTATTTCTCCTAGCAATGTGCTAGAAAAACTTTTGCTTTCTGTTCCCACCGCATTAACCTGCGTTAGTCATCTGAGAGGTCTTAGTTTCAAAAGCCTTCCACAAGGAGGTACAACATTCATTTCACTGACCTGGAAGTTAAAACTGCTACCAGGAACGGTGGGCTCTTTATGCCTCTGAATCAACTGGAAAAAAGAAAGTGACTATCCTGGCTCAAGTGATTGATCCTGATTATTAAGAAAAAATCGGACAGCTGCAACACAATAGAGATAAGGAACAATATGTCTGGATTACAGAAGATCCTGTAGGGCATGTCTTAGCATTCCCATGCCCCGTGATTAAAGTCATTGGTAAATTACAACCACCCAGTTCAGGTAGCAAGACTAGTAGTGGCCCAGACTATTCAAGAATAAACATTTGGTCACCCCACCAGGTAAATTAAATGGCCAAGGTGCTTGCTGAGGGCAGGAAGAATGTGGACTAAGTAGTGGAATGTGGTAGCAGCCATGAGCACGTGACCAGTCACATAAATGAGGGCAGCTAATTGTTATGAGATTTATTTCTTATTTTGTTATAAGTAATATGTTTCTCCCCCCACTTGTTTTTTTATTACATAACATAAAACATATTAATAATAATTAACTTTACATCACAGTATTTAATTTACAGGATATTAAGGAGAAGGGTAACCATCACCCAAGGACTTCACATCCTCTTTTGGGAAAAAGGTTAATGTGTTTTCTATTGTATGCAGAATTATTGTGTCATGTTAGGTAAATATATGACTTCGTTTCTGTCTTCATTTGGATATTTAGTATGGTTTAAGTAGATGGATATAGATGTTAAGTTGACAAAGGGAGGACTATAATGACAAATTTCATGCCAACCTGAGTAGGCAATTATACACAGTTATTCAGTGAAACATTAATATAGGTTTCACTGTGAAGATATTTTGTACATTGGTTAACATCTAAAATCAATTGACTTTAAAGGATATTATCCTGCATAATGTGTGTGACCCTCATCTAATTATTAAAAGGCCTTAGGCTGGGTTTATTGGCTCACACCTGTAGTTTCAGCATTTTAGAAGGCCTAGACAGGAGGATCATCCCATTCCAGGAGTTGGAGGCTGCGGTGAGCCATGAGTGCACCATTGTACTCCTGCCTCACCAGACCGAGACTCTATCTCAAAAAAAAGAACAAAAAGTCTGGGCACAGCTGCTCATGCCTGTAATCCCAACACTTTGGGAGACCGAGGCCAGTGGATCATGAGGTTAGGAGATCGAGACCATCCTAGCTAACACGGTAAAACCCTGTCTCTACTAAAAATACAAAAAATTAGCAGGGCATGATGGCAGGTGCCTCTAGTCCCAGCTACTCGGGAGGCTGAGGCAGGAGAATGGTGTGAACCCGAGAGATGGAGCTTGCAATGAGCTGAGATCATGCCACTGCACTCCAGCCTGGGCGACAGATTGAGACTCAGTCTCAAAAAAAAAAAAAAAAAAAAAAAAAAAGAGAGAGAGAAAAATGTAAGATTTTCTACAAAATAAAAAAAATTCTGCTCCCCTGACTGCAGCCTCAACTTCTGCCTGATTTTTCAGCCTGTTTCTGACCTCCCTACGGATAATCAACTTGACAGACCCAACAATCATGTAAGATCTGATCTAATTCTTTTAAACTCTCTTTCTCTTCTTTCAGTATACCCTATTCGTGGTTACTTTTCTCTAGGGGACCCTCTTTGATATGATGATGTAAATACATATAATATTTCTTCAGAGAAAAAGCAATTTAAAAAGGAGCAAACACCCCTAAAACTGCAGTGGAAAGCATTATCATTAATGGGAATGTTCAGACTCTACGTTATCTGCTCATCAATATTTATGACATTGATTTTCTTTTATCTCTTACTATAAGCTTTATTCGTAGGGCTTTTCCTCTTAAAGTTGCAGATGCACTATCCTCTAAACAAACCTTGTGCTTGTGTACATTACTGTCATCATTTCTGCCATTTGAAATCTCCTCCCATGGTTCAGTGCCTATTCAAATGTTGTGTACACTTCAGGGTCCATATCAAATACCTCCTTTGCCAGAATGCTTCTCCATTCAGTCTAATGATAAAGCAATACTTATGTTTAAGCCATTATATAGCCATAGTACTTACTGCTAGGACTGGCATCGAATCCTTTTTCTGGCTTTTAAAAAAATCTCAATATTTCTTGGGTATTAGTACTTGTACTTTCTGTAGCTATCTATTTACTCAAAAGTCTTTAGGTTAAGTGGGAAAATATGTAAATATAACAAACTACAGATATACCCTGTCTATAGCTGATGACTGTCATAATGCTGGAACTACAGGCAATCTCACTTATCTTCAAGTAAATCAAATAGCCTGTTTTCAGCATGCTATACTTTTTGCTCTAATCCACCCTATTTTGCTGGTAGTATTCACACTATAAGACAACTACATTTTGAAATGTTCTTCCTTGTAGAATCTTTATAATTCAACGCACTCCTTCCCATTAGTATCTTCCCTCTAGGTAATCTTATATAATGGCCTGTCCAGATAACTGTAATATGACCCGCTGTACCTCTGATTTTTCCACTGAGCTCCAGTAAGACATGTGATAGACCTCTCAAAATTGCCACAGTAAAACAGGAACAATGATGCCTTCTACTACTTAAGTAGAATATGTTGCCATCTTCTATCTTTTTTATCTCAGTCGACAGGGCCAACATGAACCCAGTTATCTTCCTAAAATCCTAAAAAAAAAAAAATTTTTCTTTTTTCTGCATTATTTTCCATACCATATCAAGCTTATATTCCTGATTTTCTTTCCTAAATTATTGCCTTATCTATTGAATTGCTGTAGTCTTCAGTGCCAATGTCCCAGTGTAAACCACTATCACCTTCTATCTAGGCTACTAAAATAGAGAGTGGTCATATTTGTTTTCAACCTACAATGCTATGATGACTCAAAATTATATTTTTGCAGTGCAAAACAAATAATATCATTCTCTTTCTTAAGCCCTCAAATGGGTTTGCAATGCACTTAAAAGAAAATTTGACCAACTTTATCTGGTACTACTTTTCATTCTCTGAGTTCTTTATTCATTGGTCCATGTTCAATTTTCTGAACACATCAAGCTCTCCCTTGACTAGAGGTTTTAAAATTGCATAATCCAAGTTCTTTCTATAACTGACTACTTTCTGCTGTCCATGTCTTAGAATCAAATCTAAATTAGATAGATATTTCCTCCACTTTTTTTGTCACTTCTTCCAGCTATATTTCTAAAAAGCTATGACTATCATAAATAAAAGCACATTTAATATAAATTTGCTGTCTGTATCTCTCCCACAAAACTGCAATATCCAAATTTAAAATTCATGAGAGGAAGATTTCATCTGTCCAACTGAATCACTGACAAATGAAATAGATCTGCCAGGCACAGTGGCTCACATTTGTAATCCAGCATTTTGGGAGGCTGAGGTGGGTAGATTACTTGAACCCAGAAATTCAAGATTGACCTGAGAATCATAGAGAAACCCCTCTATACAAAAAACGAAAACAAAACAAAACAACAACAACAAAAATTAGCTGGATGTGATGGTGTGCACCTGTGGTCCTAGCTATTTGGGAGGCTGAATTGGGAGGATCACTTGAGCCTGGGAGTCTGAGGCTGCAGTGAGCCATGATCATGCCATTGCACTCCAGCCTGGGTAACAGAACAAGACCCTGTCTCAAATAAAATAAAATAAAATAAGCTGGGCGCGGTGGCTCACTCCTGTAATCCCAGCACTTTGGGAGGCTGAGGCGGGTGGATCATGAGGTCAGGAGATCGAGACCAACTTGGCTAACACGGTGAAACCGTGTCTCTACTAAAAATACAAAAAATTAGCCAGGTGTGGTGGTGGGCGCCTGTAGTCCCAGCTACTCGGGAGGCTGAGGCAGGAGAATGGCGTGAACCCAGGAGGCGGAGCTTGCAGTGAGCCGAGATTGTGCCACTGCACTCCAGCCTGGGCGACAGAGCGAGACTCCATCTCAAAATAAATAAATAAATAAAAATTAATTAATTAATTAATTAATTAAATAAAATGGATCTTGACACATGTATCTATTCAGTACATGTATATTTAAACAAGTAAAAATGAAGTTGCAAGTTATGCATATAAGATAATACTATTCTACAGTAGACATAATTCATAGTAGCTTCTGAAAATTGTTTATTGTAATGTTTTCAAACTAAGCATGGCATACTAAAAATACTACATAAATATTCACATTCACAAATTACATACCTGAACTATGTAATTAATGTATGTGAATTCTTTGAGTTGTAGAGAATAACATATTTCAGAAATTAAAGTAAATTATTAAAAAAAAACTTCAGTAGCTACTTCACAAACATAACATTGGCAACTATACATGTAGTGTCATTGGCAAAAGCTTGCAGAGGTCAGCTGTTTACAAACTTTCATTAGAGGAAAATATTGGTTTCTATATGTAAATGGGTAGATTTAAGTAGTTGTTATTTTTTTCTTTTATACAATTTTAATCATATTGTTAGCATAGTTTCAGATATCTGTCTTCTTCAGAGTTCTAACAACTTTTTGAAGCTTCAATAATTACATCTTTAAGATAATAAAGTATAATGTTTCAAAAAACTATAAGAGGGATTTAGGAACAATTATGTCTATTTTTTTAAAGGGGATCTGGTAACAGACAAAACAAGCAACAATAACAAAAGAAAATAACAACAGAATCAATCAAATGTTCACCAACAGAGAAAACAGAAATATTGCCTAACACCAACTTTCTTTATTAAGATATAATAAAAAATAACACGAAGTTTACCACCTTCAAATGACCTGATAATGGAGGGATTCAGAGCACTGGGATTGAAGGGTTGCTGGGTACTAACCTGGGTAGAACCAAGGGTGTAGACAAAGGAAAGTGGTTTTTATTTATTTCTGTATGTCTGTGTTTAATAAATAAAGGGATTAAATGAAGCTACAGGTTTGAGAACTATTGGTTCTCTTATGTTGGCCAAGTACTGTAAACAATGTAACTGGCTATAATATTACTTATGTCTTCTAAAGACCACCATAGGGCCAGGTGCAATGGCTCACACCTATAATCCTAGCACTTTCGGAGGCTGAGGCAGGTGGATCACCTGAGGTCAGGAGTTTGGGACCAGCCTGGCGAACATGGTGAAACCCTGTCTCTACTGAAAATATAAAAATTAGCCAGGCGTGGTGGCGTGTGCCTGTAATCCCAGCTACTCAGGAGGCTGAGGCAGGAAGAGGCAGAGGTGGCAGTGAGCCAAGACTGCACCACTGCACTCCAGCTTGGGCGACAGAGCGAGACTTCTTCTCAAACATAAATAAATGGCCGGGTGCGGTGGCTCACGCCTGTAATCCCAACACTTTGGGAGGCTGAGGTGGGTGGATCAGAAGGTCAGGAGATCGAGACCATCCTGGCCAACATGGTGAAACCCTGTCTCTACTAAAAATACAAAAATTTGCTGAGCATGGTGATGCACACCTGTAGTCCCAGCTACTCTGGAGGCTGAGGCAGAAGAATCGCTTGAACCAGAGAATCGGAGGTTGCAGTGAGCCAAGATCGCACCACTGCACTCCAGCCTGGCGACAGAACGAGACTCTGTCTCAAAAACAAATAAGTAAATAAAAAATAATAAATAAATAAATATTAAAATTAAAATAAAAAAACAAAGACCACGATAGAAAACATGAACTGGGGACATGCCAAAATATCATTCACATCGTATGTGCTTTCTGGTCAAAGATGGGCAAGCAATAGCTTAAAACATGTACTTTTTTTTTTTAAGTAAAACTTTTCAAGTTCTTTCTAAAGTAAAATACATATTTTATTAAGATATTTAAAATATGTTCAAGGTCTTATTGAAGACTAGAAGCTAAGCCCAACATACGTATTCTAGACACATATTCAATTCTGAATCAAGGCAGGTGAAGATACACTTCCATCACGTCCTTTCGGTTTATTAGAACCTCCAAATGAAAATGGAAAAACATGATCTAGGACAACACATAATGCTTTCTTAGTATCACCCACAACAGCCATAGGAAGAGGTTATGGGGTAATACCTTAACAACAAAGTAATGACATGGTCAACTTTTGTATTGATTTATAAACTATGGAATGATTGACTTAAGATGCTATTATTAAAATACTACTTATCAAATTTGATGGGTGATGGTTACAAAGAAACTTGTTTGAGATATTTTTAACCAGTGGCATATTCACTTTAAGTTAAAGGTTCTTCAACAGGTTCATATATATATTTGGATATATGTGTGGGTATGCATACGTGTGTGTATGTAGAAATAATGTGAATATAAAGACGATGACACAGTTAAAGTAACTATTTCATCACTGTAATTCTCCTGCATCATAAATGTTTTGAATACAACAGTGCCACGTACAGTGGAAACAGATACTTTGTTGACTGATGACATGATTTGGATTCTAGAATTTTTAAAAATACAGTACATATTGATTTTATTATTAAGAAATTGTTTGTAGGATAATTATCTGGATAAATATTGACACAGTAAGTCTCTGGTGATCTTGTAGCCCTGAGTATGGAATTTT
Source organism: Homo sapiens (assembly GCF_000001405.40). NCBI lineage: Eukaryota > Metazoa > Chordata > Mammalia > Primates > Hominidae > Homo > Homo sapiens. Next base: position 83,010,676 of record NC_000013.11, on the reverse strand, counting down.
AGTGGTACTCAATTATGATATTATTAACCATAGATGGTTTATTTAAATTTCTATTGAGATGCTGAGTTTAGTCTCAGCTTTTTTTTTTCTGTCCAAAATAGAAAATGAAAAAAAAAAATCACTTAGGCAGACTTTTCTAAATAAGAAACAATTCCGTGGAAGTGAATTAGATTCTCTATCCCACTTGTGCACAGAAACAATCTATTACTATACATTTATCCAATTTTTATTTTAAAAAATTAACCTTATCTCAAAGAATCCATAGTCAATAAACTTACGTTGTATGATTTTTGTATACAGAAAATCTTAAATAGTGACTATATGTTTACTCTTGTTACATCATCAAAACTAAAACAGAATGTGATGAGAAAAAAATAAGTAACTTAAAAGCTGTATTGACTACTGTTTGTCCAGAGCAGTGTGTTAAAAATAGTCCTGTCATGCAACATGAGTGGAACTGGAGAACATTATATTAAGTGAAATAAGCCAGGCACATAGAGGCAAGTACCCTGGTTTATTATTAATATGTGGAACAACGACAACAAAAAGCTCATGACATAGAAAGTGGAATGATGGTAGCCAGAAGCTGTGAAGGGTAGTAGGGAGGGGAGGGATAAAGTGGGGATGGTTAATAGGTACAAAAATACAATTAGAATGAACAAGATGATGTATTTGAGAGAACGAGATGACTAGAGTAAACAATAATATATTTTATATTTTAATATAACTGTAAGAGTGGAATTGGAATGTTTCTAACATAAATGATAAAGGCCTGAGGTGATGAATACCCACATTACCCTGAGTCAGCCACTGTACATTGTATGCCTGTATTAAAATATTACATGTTCCCCATAAATATATACAATTATTATGTATCAAAATATTTTTTTAAAAAGGGCATTCTTACTCTATGTGTGAGATATTCCTAAATGTGGAAGGTATCAATCATATTATAACTATAATAATTTAGCACTCTGGAAAGATCACATACCTCCAAAGGTGGTCTTCAAATACTAATACAAAAAAAGAGAGTTGTGAAAGTGTACACTTGAGAATTCAGTTGAGACCTAGTATATGGTTATCTCATCTCTGTAAATAATCAGATAGATTAGGCTTCCTTATGCAAACCAATCAACTAATTGACAAAATTGAAGAGGATGACAACGAAACAACAAAACCTTGTTAATTATTCACCATAAGAATTATGTCCAATGAGAAGAGATAGATAGCAATGACCTCTAAAAGAAAAGTATATTCAATTGCTTTTGAGAAAGTAAGTTTTTCTTTTGTTATCTCTACTATCCCTGTGTATAGAAGTCTCCGCTTCCAAGACAGACTTAACATGTAAAGGAAAGAAATGAGAAAAAAGTTCTAGTATTTCTGCACATAAAATGTTTCTATTAAACACTAAAATTCAACATATGTCTTTTGATATTTCTGATTGTGTTTATTTTGAGGAAATAGCTAAGAGTAAAACTGCAGCAAATGATATACATTTTAAGACAAATATCATTTATTCAATACTCGATACAGAGAAAAGATACAAATTGTTTTACTTTCAATATAGTTTAATTCATCAAGGAATCATTGATTTTTTTCTTCTGTGCAAAGTTTGGTCCTTGGTATTATATGAGGTAGAAAAATGAATAACCTGTAATCCCTAGTTACAATGAGCTCATAGTCAATAGAATAATACAGATTCATAAACTGGCATACAAAATATTAAGTAGTGATATCCTAAAAAAGAGCAATGCCCTCAAACTTAAGCAGGCATCAGAATTACCAGGAGGAATTATTAAAACATAGATTGATTGATTCCACCCCCAGAAGTTATGATTTGGTAGGTATAATGTACGACCCAGATAATTTGAATTTCTAACCAATTCTCATATTATGCTTATGCTGCTGGTTGTGGAATGACACTTTAAAAATTATTGCTTAAAATGATGACAGAGGGAGATATTTATTTTGACTTAGCTGTGAAAGGAATAATTCCCAAGGGATGTGAACTTACTGTTTGATAAATTGTTAGAATTTGACAGGAAGATGAGAAAGTAGAGACTAATATAGAAAGAAAATAAGTCAATCACATATACCAATGAAACAAAATGTTATAATTGTGTGTAGAATGTGTGGTTGGAGTATGAATGAGTTTATTTGATTAATAAAATGAAAACCTAGAACATTGTGCAATAAATATTTCCTAAACATTTATATATGACTATCACAATACAACTTATATTTAGTGAGGCAGTGCATCACACCAGTATGGCTAGAGTTACATCAAATAACAATACCAAGTTCTGACGATAATCAGTTGTAACTAAAACCTTATCCATTTCTGGTTGATGTGTAAAACATCACACCATTTTTCAAAAATTATTTGTCAGAGTTTTATAATGTTAAACGGACCCTTAGCCTATGACTCAGACATAGGTTGCATTTCATCCCTAGATAAGTTGCCAAGAGTAATAAAAAAGTCAACAAAAAGACAAATGCATAAATGTTCAAAGAAGGTTAATCATATCAGATCTTAATTTCAAATTGTAATCAACAAAAGTTCATCAAAGGGTGAATGGGGAAAGAATGCACAAATATGAGTAAATCTCAAAATTATTATGCTGGGACTACAATGGAGTATAAAATGTATAATTCCATTTTTTAAAAACTTTTAGAACAGGTAAAGTTAATCTATGATGATTGAAATCACATTACTGGTTTTCTAGGATAGCGAGTGGGGATACATAAATAGAAATCTACATGACAAAAATTTCTGGGTTATGGAAAGCTTCCATTATTTGATAGAGGTGGTCATGTGGAGTAATCTTACTAAAATGAAATTAATAGAATTTATTAAAAGAATAGCTGTTGTTCATAATGGTGAAAAAAGAAAAATTTAGGATGACTTATGTTTTAAGCCTACATAGTGAATGTATGTTATTAGTAAGTAAAGTAGAAAAACCAAAATCCAAAAGTAAAAGTAGTATTTGTAGATATCTTGGATTTCTATTGTTGTATGATAACTTACAATAAATGTAGTGGCTTAGACAACACACCTTTACTATTTCACCACTTCTACAATTCAAGAGTCCAAGCAAGACTTAGCTGGGCTGTTTCAGGACTCCCAAGGCTGATGTCAAGGCATTATTTAGGCTGCACTCTCATCTTAAGGCTTGCCTGGGAAATAATTGACTTCTGTGCTCTCTCAGGTTGTTGTCAGCATTTATTGCCTTGTAGCTATAGGACATGTGATAACTTGCTTCCTCAAAACCAGCAATGTAAAGAGAAAAGGAGAAGAACCCAGTGAGAAAGAGCATGCCTGTATGAAAGAGGAAGAGAGAAAGATGCTTGCCAAATAGGTTTTACAATCTTATCAATCTTCTGTAATCATGTCAATACAATCACATATTTCTAATCACCTTTGTCATGTTTCATTCATTAGCAGTAAATCATATGTCTTTACACAACCAAGGGAGGGATTATCCAAGAATGTAAAGACCAGAAACCAGGAATCATGAGGTCACCTAAAAGTCTATTCTCCATCTTCCATACCAGAGGAAATAAAAGTACGATTTTGGACTTGAATTTCTGTGTCTTTTCTGTACCTCTATCAAGAAGATAGTAGAAAAATGCTATCTTGATTGGAGATTTGTGATTAAGACTACAAATATTACAAAATACGTAAATAGCATGCTGATTACTGTTCACATTTCACATTGATTTCATGTTGTTCTAATTACTTTCTGGATTATAAAAGAGACTAAAATATAAAAGTATAAAATGCACAAATAAAATGTTACGTAAATTTCTATTTTATAATAAAATACGTTCATTTTTAGTACAATGCAAACAAGGAGAGGAATAAATTTGCCTACTTATATCAATTGAGGCATGGAATTTAAAATTATTTTTTCCTGGAAATGATGAGAGACAAAGACATGCACTGCTATAAAACAAGAGCAAAGGAGCAAAGATGGATGTCCATTCTGAGCCAGTAGAGTCATTGAACATATGTTCTCGTTTCTGAGTGCAGAAATAAGGTAAATCATTGTCACAGCGCTGATAATAAGTCTGTCTGTCAATTCTCTGGAGTACTGGCCCAAATCCATCCTAAAGGTTATTATTTAAAAAAAAAAAAACTATGACCACTTGATCCAAGATTAACTAGTTAGAAAAATAACACTTAGCTCTGGACTTTGTAAACTCTCTGGCAGTTTGGATAATATGAGAAAATAAACTTTGCCTTGGGTCATGAAATTTGTGGAATTTTGGTTGGCATATTTCGGTCATAGTCATTTACCCAAATCCATCCTAAAGGTTATTATTTAAAAAAAAAACTATGACCACTTGATCCAAGATTAACTAGTTAGAAAAATAACACTTAGCTCTGGACTTTGTAAACTCTCTGGCAGTTTGGATAATATGAGAAAATAAACTTTGCCTTGGGTCATGAAATTTGTGGAATTTTGGTTGGCATATTTCGGTCATAGTCATTTACCAGAAGGAGGTTAATAAAAGAGCAGATTTTTGATGGAATAACTGGATTCTACTTATATAAATAATGCAACTCTAGGTAAGTTCTTTCTAAGGTTGTGAGTATGAGTAAAAATGTAACACTCAAGAAGATAATCATTAAAAAATTGAAAATATTTAATGACCGTTTAAGAATAAACTTAGCTAAAGCAGATATAATAGCCTGGTTAAGATTTTGTAGAACAACAGTTTTAATAGAAAATCTTATTGAAGTGATCTGCAACAGTGAAGAAGTTACAATTTCAAGTAGAATTTCACTCACTTTTTCTGAAAAGTGTCATTGTCTTTGGAAATACAATATTATAGAAAAAGTGTCTCTGAACTTATGGGAGGAATTATAAGAGGTAGAACCAGATTAGTATGAAACTATTACCTTCAGTTACTCATGTATTTGAGAATATTAAGCAGTAACATTAGAAGAAAACAGGGACTAATATTGGGGCAGAGAGGAGCTGTACTCTTTTATTAATTCAAGATGGAGAGAAGTTGCTGTTGGGAGTAGAATGGTATTAAATAATATGCACCTCACAGCAAAGAGTTTCATCAACCATCTGAAATTTAAATAGACATTCAAGTATCTATGTATGGGTACATTTTTCAGAGAATAATTTCAGAAATGTACAGAAAGTGCTCATTGGGATACATTACCCCTAACAAGTGCGAATGAGGACACACACTTTCAGTTGTAAGATGAAAAAGTCTTGAAGATATAATGTACACCATGGAAATTTTACACTGGAAATTTGCTAAGATGGTAGCTTTTAGTTATTCTTACCATGCATACACACACATACACACATGCACACAAATGGTAATCATGTGAGTTCATGGGTGTGTTAATTAGCTTGATTATTATAATAATTTCATAATGTGTATGCATATCAACTCATCATATTGTACATCTTAAACATGTACGATTTTTGTTAAACTTCAATAAAGCTGAAAAAAAATGACGAGAATTTTCAAACAAAACGATGAAAAAAATCAAGTGTAAGATCTGAAACTGTATTAAAAGTTACATTTTGTTAGAGAAACCTTCTCTTTTTAAGTACAGGGAGGACCAAAGACATCTGATGGGCCCACATGAAGAAGATCCAAACTCTAGCCCTTGTCATATACTTGTCAAGGGAGAAACCCAGGAAAATTGTCATATACTAGTCAAGGAAGAAACCTAGGACAATTGTCACATGTAGACTGATGTATCAGAATACAAGTGGTGACTTTCTTCTGCAGATGTCTATTTTTTTTTTTTTTTTTTTGGCTAGAGAATAAAAACTAAGGGATGACTGGCTACAGCTCCTGAAAATAAAATACATACATAAAAATAAATAAACTTCTAACTATTAGCAAGTTCTCAGGCAATTTGAAAAGCCCCAAATTACCACGCTCAAATATAGTCAGACTATGAAGTTAAGGTTTTGTAGAAACAGACTCTCCAGAGATTATTCTATATAGTGGTTTTAGACAAAGACTTGGTAAAGAAAATTACACTGAATGAAGTTAAACAGGCAAAGATGACATTTGTCTAAGATTATTGCAAAGGAGTAAAAGATTGTAGAAGTAGGGTAGAGAAATTGAATTCAACTCCCCTGAACAAAAGACAGAAGGAATTTTAAATGCTGGTGGATTAGTGGGAAAGTATTAGGGCATGTTAGGGGAAAGGAAGGTTCGTTATTGTGCTTAGTCCATCTATGTTTGCTAGCTGGTGCTTATCTAAGTTAGGTTCTGACACTTCAATCAAGATTGACAAGTTGGAATGCTACTATTTCTTTATGATAACATTTCAAAGTGATGAGTCCCAGGTCCTTGAGAAAGACATCCGTCGGTTTACACAACTGGAAAGAAGCTGAGAGAAGATTTACTTCTCAAAAGAGGAGAGACAATGATATAATTGCAACTTTCTGAAGTAATCTATGAGAAGGGAGGTGCTGTGATCTAAATGTATGTGTCCCTGCCAAATTCACATATTAAAACCTAATAACCAATGTGATAGTATTTAGAGGTGGAGACTTTTGGGAAATGATTAATTTGTGAGGGTTACACCCTCATGAATAGGGTCAACCATATAAAAACATTTGAGGAAAGCATCGTAGTTTCTTCCTCTCTTTCTGCCATGTGAGGACACAGCAAGAAGGCACCATCTTTGAAGCAGCGAGCAAGCCCTCGCCAAACAATGAGTCTGCCAATACTTTGATTTTGGACTTTCTGGTTCCAGAGCTGTGTGCAATGTTTGTTGTTTATAAGTTACCCAGTTTAATATATTTTGTTACAGCAGCTCAAATGGACTAAGCCAAGAGGTCAGAGGTCTATAGTCAGGGAAAAAGCTATCTAAAGTTTAGTTGAGCTGAGGGGAACTACAGAACGTCTTGGTCAGACTCCTGTTTTTCAACACCTTCTCTGTATGAAAGCTATATACCCAACTGAAATAGCTTCAACCCTTATGTGGAAATTTAAAATTAGTATTGTCTTCTTTTAAACAAATCCCATGGAAGAACTTAGACTTGGAGCTACCATACTAAATATGGTTACTGTAAACAGAGGGCACCTTGTGTTTGTACTTGCCACTTTCAATTTATTAAAAGATTCAGTTTTCTCTGAAGAAAAAAATGTATATATATACACATATATACAAATGTATATATACACATATAAATATATATATACACACACATACACATACATATTTGAAGGGCTTGTTTTAACACATATGCAGACTGTGAAAATATTTCCACTAGACTTTCAAAGCTTTTGCTGAATTGGCTGAATTTTGTACTTTGCAGTAAAGCTAACTATTCTTTTGCTTACACTGCTGTAAATTTTGCTTATTGTCATGTATAATGTATGAAGAAGCACAAATATACATTGTATCTTCTGCAGGAAGATTATGAACTAAATCAAAAGTATTTCCAATATAAATAATAAAATAGAAAAGACAATTTACAATAGAGCTAGAAAAGCTTAGGCAAACAAATATAATTTCCAGAGCCACTTCTGAGAACAAATTATCTAAGGCAGACTTGTGGGGACAGCGTTGTTATTAGAATTTATTGGATCTGTTTTTCAGTTGATATGTACAATTTAATGTTAAAAGTTACCTTAATTTATGATGAAAGTTAATCACTCAATTTTTTGGCTTCACACTAACATTTAATATCTGATTGAAGGAAAATAATAACATATTATCCACTGAGGAAAGGAAAGGGTATTTGCGAGTGAGAAAAGCTTTCTAAACCATAACAAGTAACACTTAATACTCAAACTGCAAGCAGGAAAGGCTATTCAAATACGCATCTGGGAGAGTGCCTTGTTAGACACTGGGTAAGGCCAATATGACGTTATGTTTAGCATATTATGGAAAATGACAAAGGAGCAAATGACTCTGAATAAAACTGACTTTTAACATAACTTCTCTCAATTTAATATTGAAGAAGTAATCTTGAAATATAACCAATTCTGAACTGTAATTTTGGAAGCGTTATTTCTCAGTGTAGTAACATTGTTGTCTGTGTAATCTGGACAACGGGTACTTAAGCAGCAATCCAAATTGTCCTGCTGCATTTGCTAAATGATGGATGGTGTCCAGTTCTCTCTTGGCTAATATTGATTAGAAATATTGAAAATACTTTAATGGTATTTCAGAAAGAGAAGCTTTAGTCGTGAATCTCAATGGTACTCTTTCAAATTAAATATACACGAACCAATTGTCCTTGAGAAGGGCAATCTGAATAACAGCCAAATTAACATTTTCCGAGCGAAACAGGCTATTATCAAACGAATGTTTCTGGAACATTGTACTGTACTAAGAGATTGAAAGATATGTGTGTGTGTGTGTGTGCATGTGTCTATATACATATATGCATAAATATTTATAGTTTTTATTCTGTTTTCTTTTTTACATATATTAAATTTTTTCTCGGAATGCATGCATTGAAATTTCAGTATTATTATTCTTCTGTTTTACTGCCTGTATACTTTGCTACTTACTTATAGTCATTTAATGTTTGAGTCTGTAACAAAGATGACGTCGGTATTTCCTTCTACTTTTAAATATCTTGACTTCTGCCTAAATTCCCCCTTTTTTCCCTTCCAAACATTTGTGGGCGCTTCATTTCCTTTCTTCATAGATGCTCCAGGAATTCATGTTTCATTTTATATGATTATGTGGAGAAATTTACCTCCTCTTATTTGTTTATGATAATCAGGCTTATCCTTCTTAAATTAGCTTTATGAAAAATAAGCTTCTCAATATTTTTCTCAATGTATTTTCCCTAGTAATAGAATTATATACTTGGATACCATTATCCACTTTTGAAAAAGAAGAAATCAATGACATTTACAATTTTGTATTAAAGACGAACTTGGCAATTTTTTTCATATTTTATGATGCTAGTTCCCTTAATATATTCTTATGATCCGATATCTGTATGTTTTATTTATTAATATTCACTATTTATTTCCTTATACATTTTACAGATATTATTTCTTCCAAAAGAAATAACAATCATAATTACAAACAAGTGAGAACTTTATACATATGCATATAAAGAAGGGATTCTTTTATTTAAACATTTTTAAATATTGAGGTTACCAGTGGAACAAAGTTGAAATTATTTTCACGAAGCCCACAATGTATTTAAGTTTGACATAAAGCCTATGTTGTTAAGACAAAAAGAAAACTATTGACTATTAAACATGATATATTCTACTGGATTTTCAGATTTATGTCCATCTTTTCATTGGTTCTCAGAATTCAACTAACATTATTGCTCACATTCTACTTATTATAAGTGTAGGTGACATTTTAAAAACACGAGAAAGGAAGGGAATACTTTGAAATTCAGCTGAGGGAAATAACGCAGCAGAAGAAATTGGTAGGGGAAAAAAAATTACTAAAAAAGGGTCGGGCATGGTGGCCCATGCCTGTAATCCCAGCACTTTGGGAGGTCGAGGTGGGCAGATCACCTGAGGTCAGGAGTTCGAGACCAGCCCGGCCAACATGGTGAAACCCAGTCTCTACTAAAAATACAAAAAAATTACCTGGACGTGGTGATGTGCGCCTGTAATCCCAGCTACTCATGAGGCTGAGGCAGGAGAATTGCTTGAATCCAGGAGGCGGAGGTTGCCGTGAATCAAGACCACACCACTGCACTCCCGCCTGGGTGACAGAGCAAGGCAAGACCCTGGCTCAAAATAAATAAATAAATAAATAAATACATACATACATAAATAAATAAATAAAGAAGAAGGAAAGTCAATGTCAATGTCTTGAATAGTAAATCTGAATAATCCGTGCCGTGAGTTGTGACATTATAATGGTTGGATACTGTTTTCATCAGTGCTGTATGTTTAATTATTCATAGTAAGAGAACAAGTAATATAGAATTTGATACAATGTTGATGCATAATCTGAAATTAGATCTTGGGATAATATCATATTCTGCCACTGTGGCTAATCTTCTAGCATTCTCTTTTTTTTTTTAATTTGAATTTAAGTATATTATACAGTTTCTGAAAATCTTTGATACCTTAAGCAACTGAAATTACTATGTTTGTTTACAAAACACATTTTTACTTTTCAGTCATGGAGTAGAAAATAGTTTAATATGATGTGGATACAAAACATTTCACTAAGCTTTAATCTATCACTGAATTATAAACTTTCCTTTGTATACCTTAATTTTTATCTGCAAAGTAAATTATACCTTGTGCATTAAACCACTGAATCTATATGTCTTTTGGTGAAACTAGTGGGCATAAGACACCAAAATATTATATGTATTTGTATGAAATTTTAAAAATAAAATAACTATTATATTGGAGAATAATATGTTAAGAATTTATATATTTAATAATAGATATTTTTCTGATTCTAAACATATTGCATAAAACTTATATGGAATTTTCAAAATTCAGAGTGTGAAAGGAAATATTAAAAAATATAAGCAAAACAATAACACCGCTGATATGGTTTGGCTGTGTCCCCACCCAAATCTCATCTTTAACTGTAGCTCCCATAATCCTCATGTGTCTTGGGAGGGACATGGTGGGAGGTAATTGAATTATGGAGGTGGGTTTTTCTTGTTCTGTTCTTGTGATAGTGAATATGTCTTGAGATCTAATGGTTTTATTAAAGCAGTTCCCCTGCACACACTCTCTTGCTTTCTGCCATGTAAGACATGCATTTGCTCCTTCCTCACCTTCCACCGTGATTGTGAGGCCTCCCCAGAAACGTGAAACTGTGACTACATTAAACCTCTCTTTCTTTATAAATTACCCAATCTCAGGCATTTCTTCATAGGAGTATGAAAATGGACTAATACAACCACAATGCACTACTCAGTTGTTCAAAGACTTATGACTCCATGACCTTATGCATATTAAGTGTTGTTTACTATAGTCACATAAGGATGTACAGGTATGTACATGTATTATGTAAGTTGTAAGAGCACTTGGATTGCCAGAAGAGGATGAATTACCACCTCTTGACCCCACTTTTAACTTAGGAAGCAGGTCACAGAAACATCAGAATTTTCTACCTGGAAGAAGATTAGTAGCTGTGGTATGAAATTGTTCCCTCTATATGCCATAGAGAAGGGAATGGTATATACAGCATGCTCCTTCCAACCCACACAACATAACCAACTAAAGAGAAATGCTCCACAGAAATCTCAGTAAGCTTGAGAATGTCTACAAGGTGAAAAGGGATCATTTTCAGTCTTGAAAGAATGACAGTGAATGAATAAAATAGTCCCCTGGCTATCTGAGCAGCAAAAATTAAAATAAATAAAGCTTATTTATATACATATATGCTTATGCATATACATACAATATACATATATACATACACATATATACACACATCTATATACATATACATGTATACACATATCCATATACAAGACCTGAGAAGTTCTACAGTTACTCTATCAAAGAGGCTACCGACATTTTCAGTAAACCTTAGCAGTTAATGAATAATTTGAGTCAGAGGTTCAAAGTGATGGAATTTTCACTTCATGGAACCAGGCAGCACCAAGGCCACCGAGGACTCTGTTAAGTACTCACACTTATACCCCCTAAAACAGCAGTGCCTGGCTAAGCAGCCATTAACAGAGAAATTGCCACCCAGAAGAGTGATGTGGGAGAGGGCTACCCTTTTTCCAGTTACTGTTTTCAATTTGCTACTGAGAAAATTTACTTTTAAACATAGGGACAGACAAGGAGAAAAGGAATGGATTATTTTGCTCTCCAAACTCCAAGTCCCTAAAGCCACAAGTTTGGACAATCATGATAGAAATGGAAAGCTTTGAGTTTTGATATCACAAAAAATATGAAAACAATTATAGATACCTTAAGTGACAGAGGAAAAATGGCAAAGCTGAAATCAGGGGTCAGAGAAAAAAAGCTTGATAATTTATTACTAATGTAGTTGAAACAAACAAATCCCTACAAATGTAAAACTGAATATGTTGAAAAAATATTAGAATTGTTGTCATGCAATTGTTTCACTTACAAGTAATTGAAATTTATTACATATTCTTGATACTAAAATTTTAAAGTCAAGTTTCTATGATATACATAAAGATAAATATTTACAATATTTCTTATTCTTTGATATGTAAGTAGTTTCAAATATTTTGCCATTATATATAACACAGCCACAAATACTGTATTAGTTTTCTAGGGTGGCCACAACAAAGTATCACAAGCCGGAATGCTAAAGCTAATAGAAATATATTGTCTCACAGTTCTGGACGCTAGAAGTCTGAAATGAAGATGTCTGCAGGTCCATACTCCTCTCAAACCTTTAGAGAAATACTTCTTTGCTTCTTCCTAACTTCTGATGGTTTGCTGCCAATCTTTGCATTCTTGATTTGTAGCTGCATAACTCCAATCTCTGCTTCCTAGTCACAGAGTATTCCCTCTGCATGTCTGTCTCATATGGCCATCTTTTTTTAAGGCTACCCAGTCATATTAGAGCAAGGTCTTACCCTACTCTAGTACAACCTTATCTAAGAGAATTGAAGTTAGTATGTCAACATAGCTTTTTGGCAGGGAAATTAAATGTTAATAAAACATAGTTAATTACTAGAATATTAACTTTACATTATTGAGTGTTCTGATCTAGGAACATTGTGTATATAATTATCAGGTCTATATTTTTAGTTCTTTAATATTATAATATTTCATAATTTCTTTTATAAGAAACCACATTTTATGCAAATTTTAAACCTAGACATTTTATATTTTATGTTTTAGTGAATTTTGGACAATTTTTATTGCAATTCTAATGAGAAATTGATATTATATGTAAGAGCAACTACTGATAGAATTTGTATTTGGTAATCATAATAAACTCTTAAAATGTATTTTGATGGTTTTATTGGTTTCCATGGCACTTATTTATATTAATCAAAAATGTGTGTCTATGCTATTGCAATTGGAGATATTTTATTTATTATATTTTTACATGTTGCAAAAGGCATGTATAACAAATCTACATAGTATTATTGATACTTCATCTCTCATTCTGTGTTTCTGTCTAGTAAAATTATCTTAATTGTATTATTAAATATAATGTAGGCATTTTATTTCATATTTATTTTATCTTCTTAGTAATTTGTTTTTATAATTCTACTTTTCCAAGAATATATATTTTAAATTGATTAGGTAATTTATTTATATCATACATTGGGATGATCACAAGATTTCTTCTTTTAGTTTTCAATGTGATGGAATAGATTTTAGAAAAAATAATTATGGTATATGATTATTTTATAGGTTGCTAAATTTTATGGAATGGAAATTATTTAGCAGCATTACATCTATAAGATTGATTTGATTTAAATTATAATGTTTTAAATATTTAGATATATAAGGGTACATCAGTTTCAATGGATATTAAATTAAACATATATATTTAAAATTATTACATTAAATTGTGAGATACCGGGTCACAAATGTGAATTTCCAAGAAAATGGCAATTCATGCACTATTTATTTGAATACAAAGATATTTGGTTGTCTCTTGTGTTTCATCAGATTTGGGAATTGACATAAATTCATCAGATGAATCGAGAAGTTTCCTTCCTTTATGAATCATATAATGCTCAAAAATTGGGAGTTCTACATTTTACAGTGTTATAGACATTTTCATTTTCTGGTGATAATTCCTCAGATAATTTTCTTAGATTTTTGTATTACCGTATTTTCTGTGTTCTGTTTACAGTTGGACAATCAAATTGTGCAAATTGCATTATCAACCACATTATTTAATATTTTCTTTAATAATTCCTTCTTTTTTCTCTTGAATTTTAATTTATTTCAATCTGCTTTTTCATATGTAAATTTGTAGAATTAAATAGTTCGTTACTTAGTTGTTTTTAACAAATGATTAAACTGCCTAAAGCTCTGAATAAACACTCAAGCCAATCCACAATCATTTTTTATTCATTAAATTTCTAATAAAATTATTAAAGCATAACTTATATGTAGTAAACTTGACCCATTTGGTGAGTTTTCAAAGATGTCTCATGAAAATTGCACCATGATCACAATGAGAAATATTTTGATCTTCCAGAAAAAATTTGCTCATGCGCATTTGCAGTCAATTTCCAAACCCTTAGCCATATGAATATGCTTTATCACTATGTAATTTTGTTTGTATTTTCTAGAACTTTATATGAATGAAATCATACAGTAAATATTATTTTGTGTCAGATTGCCTATATTTTCTTTTGTCAGTTTCAGCAACTTACAATTTCTATGTTATTCCTGTATTTTATGTAATTGGCATTAAGTTGTTTATAATGTTACCTTTCTATCATTATAGTGTCTAAAAAATCTTAAGTGGTGCCTTTTCTATAATTGCTAATAAAATGATTTGTCCCTTGCCTCCTTTTTTCTTGATCAATTAAAAATAAGTTTTATCAATTTTATGGACTTTTCAAGTAACAAACTTTTAGTGTTATTCATTTTTATCTTAAACGGTCATCAGATTTAGCAAAGGAAAAATACAGAAACCTGTTTAAAGTTTAATTCAGATAAAGAATATACATATAGTTTGAACGTTTAATGCATACATGTGTCCTTTATGATATTTGGGATTTCTTATTTTTGAAGATAAATACAATTTTAGATGAAACTCAAAATTTCAATTTTTTTTACATGTGTAATTATGTCCTATAGAATATTTATGACATACTTAGACAAAAAAACAGTTAATCTGAAATTCAGACTTCTGTTGACTTGTTCTCTTTATTTTTATTACACCCTTCCTTCCACACACTCTATTTTTTATTTGCTGTTTTTTTTTCTAGTTTCTTGTGTTTGAAGGCTTACATCATTGATTTCAGACATTTCTTTTTGTCTTATATTTGCATTTAACATAGAAAATGCTCTTTTATACACATCTTTAGCAGCTTCACATACATTTTGGTATACTATTTTTATTATCATTTCATTAACGTATTTTATAATTCCCTTTTGATTTTTGTGTTGACATAGTGGCTGTTTAAAAATGAGTTGTTTAATATTTGGAGCATTACTACTTGTATTTTTTTATTTCTCATTTAATTATTCTGTAATCAGGGAACATAATTTTAAAGAGATTTTTTATTTTATTTTATTGGAACTCGTTCTATGGATCAATATGTGGTCAGTCTTGGTGAACATTCCATATATGATTGAAATAATGTTTGTCCTGCAGTTGTTATCTATAGCATTCTACAAATGCTATGGTTATGATGGTTGACACTGTCATTCATATCTTCTATATTATGTTTTTTGTCTGGTTGTTCTGTACATTAATGTGAGGTGTATCTTAAAGTATTCCACTATGTGGATTTAACAATTTTGCCAGAAGATCCTGATTATGCCTTATTTATACACTTTACAGTGTATTTAAATAATTATTTTTATGTTGTATGTTGTATTAATATTTTCTAATTGCTATCTATAGGAAGAGAATCGTTCACGCAACCACAACGCTTTTTGCTATTGTGGTATGATGTCAGCTTAAATGCGTTTAACAAATGTGCAGTTTTTCAATCAAAGGCAGTTATAATTAGTGCTTGATGGATGTTTTCTTGGATTTTAAAATGGGATTCTCATTATGTAAATGTAAAATCTATATTTTTTTGTATTGATTTTATTTTGAAACAAATACTCTGAATTCTTAAGAATTTTGTTATAATGTTAGCTTTAAGGCATTATGATTATGAAATTTTGACTAGTTAATTTATGACTTGTGGAACATATTAATGATTTAGTTATTGAATTCATTACTCCCCAGTTGAATCTTAGCCTCCTAGCTCATATTCATATGATTTTTTTACTAGTGTTTGCTTCACAAACTTTTCCAATAGAGAAACAATTAAGGTGGTATGTAGATGAGAGTTTTCTGCTTACTGATAGACATGAGCTAACACACTTCCATATTAATCTTCTCCCATTCCTTTCATCAATATAGAAAAGAACCATATCATTTATTCATTTAGGTGATTTATCTCATCTTCTTAAGTTAAATAAATTAATCAAGGCAAAATGGGGAGACAAAATAGGTTCTCTTTACAGTCAGAACCTTAGGATTGTGTGCATGAGAGTGAGCATGTGTGCTTTATATACTCAGCAACAAAGGCAGTCTTTATATAGGATGCAAATAATACATATATTTTGAATATTTAATGGATAATCTACATATGTCCTATGAGGTATTTTGGATTTCCTGCATTTTGGAGATGAATATAATTTTAGATAAAATCCAAAATTCCAACTACTTTGAAAGTCAAGTCTTTTTCATTATTTTTCACTAATTTCTCATGTCCTCCATGGCACCCACATTAGCAAGTTCTGTGACTGGTTCTTCTTGTCTTAATATTATAGTCTCACTATTTTTAAATCAAAAAAGAAGCTTAGCTAATTCCTTGGCCACATTATAGAGCACATAGACATCCACTATTCATTTTGCTAATACTACTTGATCTCTCTTTTGGCTTCTCAAGTTAGTTTCATAATGATTTCTTGTTTAATTTCCTTCTTGGGGGTTAACATTTTCTGGTTTCTTATTTAGAGAAATTCAGTTTCCTCTCTAGGGGCTTCCTCATTTTTCAGGACAAAATCATTAGTATTCTAAATAGCAACTTTTTTTTATATACTAACAAGAAACATATTTATATATCTCCATATATGTTTCAGAATTACCATCACTGAAATAAAATTTGAAATATAATATGCAGGAATTACTAAAAATGTGATTTTTTTCTTTTTCTATGTTATAGCATATGACAAAAATTCAATCTAAAGGAAGTAATATTTATATTACATACAATTTTAATTTATGCTCTCTATAAAGATTATGTTGCTTTACATAATGTATTGGTCATTGTATTAGTCAGCTCAGGTTTCCAAAACAAAATACTACAGACTGGATGGCTTAAACAATAGAAATTTGTTTTCTCACAGTCAGGAGGCTGAAAGCCTGAGATCGGTGTTTCCACATGTTCAGGGTGGTGAGGGCTCTCTCACTGGCTTGCAGATGGCTGCCTTCTTACTGTGTCCTCACCTGGTGTGGAGAGGGAGAGAAAGAAAGAGAGATCTTTTTGTTCTTATAAGGCCATAGTCTTTTGTAACCTCTGTCTCCAATACAGTCACACTGGAGGTTAAGGCTTCAACTTACGAATTTGGGAAGAGTACTGTTCAGTTCATAGCAGTCATTCCTGAATAGTTACTACCAAAATAGTAACGTATTGGCCCTTGATGAATATTTATTCTCTGTATAGTTAACATTTATTGTTACAGTTTTCCTTCATTTTGTATTTTAA